>NC_000006.12:97646547-97798062 GCF_000001405.40 Homo sapiens
GGAAACCTTCTTTGGCCACAAAAGGATCTAGAGTTTAGCAGCATGGGCTTTCTATGTGTAGACTTGTTATACATAGAAATAGTATTTTAATGATCTACCAATAAATTAAAAGCAATGGGTCTGGAAATTGCTGCTAGATTTTTGGATCTCTCTCTAAGTATTCTAAATCTCTGCTGTCCAAAATGGTAGGCTCTGGCACATGTGGATATTGAGCACTTGAAATGTGGTGTGTCCAAAGTGAAATGTGCTATAAATAAAAATATACACTGAACTTTGAAAACACAGTACAAAAAGAATGGAAAGTATCTCATTGTCTGTTTGTTTGCATTGCTATAAAGGAATGCCTGAAGCTGGGTAATTTACAAAGAAAAGAAGTTTATTTAGCTCAAACTACTATAGGCTGTATAGGAAGCATGATGTCCGCATCTGCTTCTAGTAAGGGCTTCAGGCTGCTTCCACTTATGGGCAGAAGGTTGAAGAGGAGCCCGTGTGTGCAGAGATCACATGGCAAGGGAGGAAGCAAGAGAGAAGGGAGGAAGGTACTGGGCTCCTTTTAACAACCAGCTGTCTCAGGAACTGATAGAGCAAAAACTCACTCTCCAAGCCCCCAGGGAAGGGATTAATATATTCATAAGGAATTCACCCCATTACCCAAATATCTCTCATTAGGCACCACCTCCAACATTGAGGATTAAATTTCAAATTTCAACATGAGGTTTGGGAAACAAACATCCAAACTATCTGTAGCACTCATGAATCACTTTTTCTATTGATTATACCTTGAAATAATGTTTGAGATATAGTGGGTTAAATAAAATATATAATGAAAATTAATGTCATCCATTTCCTATTTTTTTTCTTTTTAAGAGATAGGGTCTCACAGTGTTGCATAAGCTAGTCTCAAACTCCTGAGCTCAAGTGATCCTCCCATCTCAGCCTCCCTAATAGCTGGGACTACAGGCATGTACCACCCCTCCTGGCTTAATTTCACTAATTTTTTTTTTACTTGCTTGCACATGGCTACTAGAGAATTTTAAATTACATATCTGGCTCACATTATATGTCTATTGAAAAATGAAGTTCCAAATGGTGGCAGAGCTTTAAAAAATCATTTAAACTTAATATATTCTGGTTATCTCACATAGATTAGTTGAAGCTTTATTGTATCATCTTCATCTATATTTTGATACCTGCTCTGAATCATGTATTTATAAATTTTCTTTCTAAAGAATATTTCTTTAGATTAAAAATTATGTATAGGAATAGATCTAAGTGAAAGCCTTTTAGAATTATTGATACCAATGTATTGGTATTCCAGAGTACATTTCATCATTTCTTTTAACCCATTCCCACATCAATTCTTTCTGTAGTTGTGAACGGTTAGATACATGAACTTTCTTATAGCTCTCTTCTCTTTCTTACCTTCTGAGGGTAAATCATGAACGCAATAGTCAGAAGGATTTGGTTAAAGGGAAGTTGGAAGGAAATCATCTAGAAGGTCTTGAACTGGATTTGCAAATGTGGATCATGAGGCCAGGGTACTTGGGTAATGTAAGTAAACTTCTTAAAACAGTCATTTGTAAATAGAGGTAACTTTCCAGTGTCACAGAAGAAGAATTGAAGATCTATTGCCTCTCAGAAACATTTATCTACTCACATTTTATTGCAAGGACACTTTGGTGTTCATATTTTTCTTATGAGCTGCCTTCCTTTGCTTTGCTTTCTAGACAATTTGTACTTTTCCTTTGATTTCCTTTTCTATTCAAGGGTTAATAAGAAATGGGTTTTTAATTTCCAAGTCTGCAAGATTGTTTGCTTTCCAGAATATAACTGAATTTTGCTTTTAAACCTGATTAGATGTTTTTGTTATGTAATAAGAAAATTTAACCCAGCATTTAGTGAAATGATTGACATACTTCATACTTTTTCATTTTGTATCTTCCTTATCCTTATACTTTTCCTTATTTTTGTTGCCTTTTTCAGTGAGATATTTATTCTTTGATCTGTTGTTGATTTATATGAACTACCATAATTTACCATTGCTGCTATCACAGTAAAACTACTATTTGAAATATACTATATCAAATATTTCCTCCCCTATCAAAATGCTTTGTTTTCTTCTTTGATGTGCAATTTGGACCATAACTTTATTATGTATATTTTTTAAAGTGGGGTCCATATTATTCTCTTCTAAATTAAATTATTTTTTCAAGCTGTGAGGAAGTTTTTACAAATTTGTGTTTGGTCAAAATAGGGTTAAGTTACAGTAGCTGCTGTAATATATCTACAACTCTTTTGGTCTTTTTAATCTTTGTGTTTCTTTTACAAACAGGTACTTTTCTTCTATGTGATATGCAAATCTCCCAGCTCCTAGGAGCAACTGGATAGGGATACGTGTTTCATCTTAAAACAAAGACCAAGAAAAAATAATAATATGATAAAGTTATTCAAAGGATTTCAGAAACAGGTGTTCTAAGTCTACACTAATTGGATTTCAGTTAATTATTCCTTTTACTTTAGGGAATATAAGTAAGAAATGTAAAAAAAAAAGTACCTGAAAAACTTCACTGACATGGTAATTGCTCTAATATTACTTAACTTGGGGGAAAAAAAATCCCACCTTAGTGTGACCGAAGTCTTAATTACCTTTTTCATTTCTAGATTTTAAGATACAAATTATAGGCCTTCCATACACTATATATTTCACAGGGCTATGGCCTACTCTAGTTTTTCATGTATATATAATTTTAATTTTCCATGACAATGCACAGAAACTATTTATATAATTTACAGATTAGATTTTTGACTAAACTCAGGAAGACTAAAACAATTATCTCTTATGTTTAGGTCAAGAAGTCTGCTGCTATTTGATTTTAGATAAATTGTTCATTTTTCCTTAATCTGATTTTCCTCTTTGAAAACAGAAGAGTAGTTTTATATATCACTGTCACCATTAGCATTCCTTAAAAGTGTGGGTTGAACAATAAGGGTATCCTAAAAGTGAGAGTCGTGTTTGTGAAATAATATGATTTTATAAAGTAAACTCCACAGAGATTTGGATTTTTGTTGTTGTTCACTGGTCTTTGCCTAAAGCATAGAACCATGTCCGGTGCATAGTTATTATGAAAGAAAATTTTCTGGATAAATTAATGAATGAATGATATATATTGAAGGAAGTCAGCAATAGATGCCTAGAATTAGGATACAGATTATCTGAAAGTCAATATTTGATATAGTACATATTGGTAGAAGGGGGAAAAATAAATCCACTATTTATATAGTGTTCTAGCTTGTTTTTTATTTGTAAAATAAAATTAGAAATCATGGCATCATGGTAAAAAAAATCATCCATTGATTGGTGAAAATGGGGAATTCAGTGGTTAAGTGAAATAAGTAAGTTCATGAAGCACACAAAGTGTTTAATAAACATTTGTTGAAAGTATATTTATAACACAATTTGTTATATTGCCAAATAAAAGTGGGATCCATATATTAGGCACATTTTTTCATCTGGTACAGTGCAGTGCTGATTCCACATTCAAGCTTCATACATCTAGTGAAGGTAGCATTTTTACCACTGCACTCATTTTTATATTTGAACTATCCTGCATTGACTTAAATAACCAATTTCATTCTGGTCTTAGTTCTAATCATGACACATTTTTTCCAAAGGCTTGAATTTTGAGGACTGCTATTCTAGTCAGTTCCACTAAGCTATCAGGGGGAAAGATTAGCAGACAAACTAAACATATTATTATCATTAGAGTGTATGAAAAAAAGGTGTCTACTTTCTTGATTTTTCTTTATGCCATCAATAAAATAATTACCTATTTTTTCATAAATTCACATTTGTACATGGTGAAAATAATTCAAATGCTTCAGAAGACTAAAAAAATATAGCAAAAGACAACTTTCCTAGGTTTCTGGCCCCATGTTCAGAGAAAATCTTTCTTAGTTTCCATTTTTAAATTATTTTAGTGGTTGCTATTATGTTTTAAAATATTATTCACTAATTTTTAATCAGATTTTTAAGTATTTTTTGAATACTACTACTGGAATTTTATAGAACTTAACACATTAGTTTCTCCTCCACTACTTCTTTTAACAATGAAATTTTTGTGGTTTTATTCTCTTTTTCACATTACCAATATAAATGACATTTATAGTTTTATGCTTATATAACTATTATTCAATATTAAATCAAGCATTGGGCCTGAAACTATAAAGAAAAAATTGTACAAAAAGTGTCCAGGGTATTAAATTTTTAGGTTATTTTAAATTTTTGTACTACTTTCTGATCATAATTAACTGGAACTTTTTCATATACTTCTTGTCATCAGACTTTCTAGCCTTCTCTTTGTTTTGCTGGAGAACACCCTTGAGTAATGTTTCATTAGAGGTTGCACAGGAGATGCATTTTTCTGTTCTGCTCATCCAAAAATATTTTATTTTACTCTGACAGTTGATTGAAAGTTGGCATGGGCATGGAATTATGGGATCAAAATAATTTTATGTCAGCACTTTGAAGGCATTAATGTAATATCTTTTAGTGTGAATTGTGGCTTTGAGAAATTTCATGTTTTGAATCTCACTGCTTAGTAAGTAAACTTTTTTCTCTCTCTCTGAAAGATTTTAGTCTTTTTTCTTATGTATTTATTTATTTGAGACAAGGTCTTGCTCTGTCACCCAAGCTGGAGTACAGTGGCATGATCTTGGCTCACCACAACCTCTGCCTCCTGGGCTCAAGCAATCCACCCACTTCAGCCTTCCAAGTGGCTAGGACCACAGGTGCGCCACCACACCTGGCAACTTTTTTTTTTTCTTTTGTATTTTTAGTAGAGACGGGGTCTTGCCATGTTGCAGAGGCTGGGTAATATTTCTTTATCTTTGGAATATTGAAATTTAACCAGAATTAATATAAGTGTATATTTTATCCCTCCACTCAAATTGACATATATAGGGGATTTTAGTTCTGAATACATGTTTCCTCCTTAGTGTAGTAAACTGTATTTTTTTTTTCTTTGATTATTTTTCCTTTCTTCCATTGTCTGTCCTCTATTCAGAGATTCCTCATTCTTTCTTTTAATTTCCCTATTTAATTCTTTTTTTTTGATAATTATACTTTTAAATTTTGTGCAACTCTTTCTCTTTCTATGATTGGTACATGCTGAGGCAGTCTTTTTTAGTGTGAAGGATGGAAATATCCCCTTAACTCACTTTAATATTATGAATTATATATATATATATAAAATGTGAGTGTGTGTGTGTGTGCGTATGTGCGTATATATATATATATATATATATATACACGCACACACACAGAAATAAATTTTTTTGGTTTCTTGAATTATTATTTTTTCTAGATGAGTGATACTTAATGTTTATCTTGGTCACTTATTTGTATGCTATTTGATTTTTTCTGGAATCAGATTCTAGGTCAGATTCTATCTTTGCTATCGACTGGTTGAATAACCAAGAACAAGTTATATAGCCACTTTAAACCTCAATTAAAAAAAAAAACATAACAAGAGTGATGTTGTGAGTCATGTTGTGATAATTTAACATGGAGTCAGCACATAGTTCATTCTTAATTTTCTAAAATGCCTTTTATTTCATCAATGACGTAGTTATAATGCCTAATTTTTTAAGTTATAATGTATTGATGGGGCTGGCTTAATTCCACTATAAACCTTTGTTGCAACATATTCCTATTGAATATTCAGAGCTCAGTTTTTCTATAAGCGAAGATAGTAAATGTTTTCAGCTTTGTGGGCATAGTCTCTGGAGTAACTATTCGCTCTGCTGTTATAGCACAAAATCAGCCATAGACAATGCATAAACAGATAGGAGTGGCTCTGTTCCAATAAATATTTACCAAGAACAAGCAACTGGCCAGGTTTGGCCCATAGACCACTGTGGGCCTACCCCTAAAATATATCATGTAACGTTCCATCCAGCATGTTCTCTGGAATTACCACTAAGCTTGGAGTTGGAAGCATAGATTTTAATTTTACTTACATGAGCTAGAGTAAGTCACGTAACCTTTTCAGGCTTTGTTTTTTCCTGATACATAAAATAAAAGGGAATAAATTGTCATTTAAGCTTATTAGAACTCAAGTTATTATTAAAAAAAGAAGCATTTCAACGCAAAAATCTTAATGCTCAACATAAAATGTGAAATCTCTTATTGTATATTCACCATTTGTATCCCATTTTACAATGCATTGTAGTTGATGTTATTTTTGAGAGTGAGGACTATGATGTTTGGTTTCCACTCATCTAAATAAAATAAACTTTACTGTTACTTTTTTGTTGTTTTAGAAATAATAACTTAATGATATATATGAAAATGTGTAATAAATAACAATGTTTTAATGGGTCTTCTATTGTGTTTGAAAAATGAATTAGAAAAGCTCTGCTTCAGGTTTATTTAATTAACTGGAATAAGGTTTAAAAGACGATGATACTAGAGTCTGTAAAATATTTATCACTAAATATAAAAAATATAAATTTCCAAGAAAGCAACATTACCAGTTACAATGGTAACTACAAATGTCTCAGCTGGTTCATAAATGCAGCTTATTTTTGAATGACTATTTAAATCTAAATTTTAGTACTTCTTTACATATTGATAATCCAAGGTGACATGCCCCTACTATTTTCCTTGGGCATTTTAGAACAAAAGAAAATAAACATCTCAAATTCAAATTGAAATGTGAAGTCAAATCTTGATCTTTTCTTGAGGTAGTACAATTATTTTGTTCCAATTTTTTCACATGCTAACATATTTGTAATAGTCTTTTTACAAGTCACCCCTCCCTTCTTCTACTCCTTCCTTCCTCCCCTCCCCTCCCCTCCCCTCCCTCCCTCCCTCCCTCCCTCCCTCCCTCCCTCCCTCCCTCCCTCCCTCCCTTCCTCCCTTCCTTCCTTCCTTCCTTCCTTCCTTCCTTCCTTCCTTCCTTCCAGAAATAGTTGTTAGCTATGCTGGATAAAATACTCTCCAGTACCTGGGAATAGAGATTAGAGAACAGTAAAGATAAGTAAACAGGCAATTGCAATACATTGTGAAAAATACTATAATGCAAAAGTTGTTGAAGGATACTTTAGGGGCAATTATGAGGAGAAAATATCCTAGTGAGGTGACACTAAGCTGAGACACAAAGAATGAATGGGAAGGTGCTAGTTGAGTATGGGAGGGATGGAGTCATGAGCACATGAAAACCAAATGAAAATTAGCTCATGTGCCACAAATTTGAGGATTTGCCTCAGTGGACAGATGGGAGGCTTTTAGACTCAATCCAGAGATGTGGAAATAAATTGTTGACATAGTATGGTTTTGTGGAAAGAATATGTGCTTCTGAGAAAGGCAGATCTAATTTGAAACCTGGCTTTACTTTGGCTTTGTGACTTGGGCATATTATTTAACCTTCTTGATTCTCAATTTCCTCATTTGCAAAATTGAGATAATGATATGTATTTTAAAAGAATGTTGTAAGGATTTAATAGGATAGCCACACAAAAGCGGTGGCTCATGCCTATTATCCCAGCACTTTGGGAGGCTGAGGTGGGCGGATCACAGGGTCAGGAGATCAACACCTGGCCAATATGATGAAACCCCTTCTCTACTAAAAATACAAAAATTAGCTGGGTGTGGCAGCCCGTGCCTGTGGTTCCAGCTACTCAGGAGGCTGAGGCAGGAGGATTGCTTGAATCCGGGGGGTGGAGGCTACAGTGAACCAAGATTGTGCCACTGCAGTGAGCCAACATCGCGCCACTGCACTCCAGCCTGGGTGATAGAGCAAGACTCGGTCTCAGAAAAAAGTGCCTTCCATGGAATTAATGTTTAATTAAAATTAGTTGCTAGTTACTTATTCTTCATATCTTAGTATTGGGAAAAGTTGAAGTCATCTGTGGAAAAAAAAATGTCTTTGACCGTAATCAGAGTACCCAGAGATTGGTTATGCAAAGAATTTTACAACTATCCTCTTTTTTTGCTCCCTCCCTTCTTCTCTCCCCCCTTTCTTATTTCTGCCTCTGTTTTCCTCCTTACAATTATGTTTTCTGTATAAGAAGGGGTTAGTGTCTTCTTCCCAAGCTTTAACTAAAATATGCTTGAGGGCACTTTTGGCTATGTTTCCATAGCTCCTAATGAAGAGTGTACATGCCATAATTCTTGTTTATAATGGAAGAAAAAAGTACAAAACCCAGAAAGGTCTCTAAGCAGAATATGGGGCCACTACACTTAATTAGCTAGGTGCAGTACAGGTTTGGAGTTCTTGGTGTTACCAACGGCATCCATAAAGGACGGAAGCGTACCTTAGGCAAAGAGCTCCACTACATGGTGGCTGTGTCCTTGCAATGGGACAGGCCCTAGCAAAGTTGAAGAGAATGGCAGTTTGAACTTCTCTGGGATACTGGAAGTGTCTCTTGCATAGCCTTTCAATAGTAGTAAATAGTATTTACTACCACTGAATACTCTGCTGATTATTAAGCTGTTATCTCTTTATCTTCATGTCCATTCTTCCATCTTCAGCTTTGTAGACATTCTTTTAAATTAAATATGTTTGTAAATAATGAAGTTAAGGGATGTTATAATGACTTGAGAAGTATAATTTTCCCAAGATTATTTGTCTGTTAAAATCCCTAAATATTTATATCTAAATTATTCTAAATATCCAAACTAAACCCAAACTAAATTTTCACTTTGGGGACCTTTAGCTTCTATCCAACTTACAACATTGCCCTTATGTATTTTTTTTAAAACTAGAACTTCGAAACTTAATTACATTTTCAAACCAAAGATCTCCAATATGGACTTACTATAAATTGTAGTATATCAATTGATGTTTAACTTTTAAATTTTATATGTATAATAGTTATAATTAATCTCCAACATACAGAAAAGTCTGTATTTGTTTTTACAAACTGAGCAGCATAAACATCAACTTGATTAATCTTTGTAGTCTTTTATCACTTTTATTTGCAGGTCTCTTAGTTTGCTTATCACCTCCTTTTTTTATTGTTGTAATTCCTTGATGTATTGTATTCCCTAAGTCTCCTAGGTATTTTAACTACTAGTCTTTTATTTTCTGGTACTCTACAAACATATTTAGTTTTACTTAAGACAAAACTATGAGATATGAATTGGGGTTCATTATTTATGGTCTTTTCTCTAAGGGATACAATTAGAAAAATAATGACAAGTGAGAGAAAACTCTTCTGTAAAAGTACAAAAATGCTTCATTTTATTCAAAAAGCAAGTTAAAACAGCTGCAATAGTACATAATGATATACATAATTTCCTGGGTGTATTGCCTGGATTCTTTTTAACCCTTTAAAAATAGAAATATTTATTATTTCAATAAAAGAAAGCAATCACATAGGACCAAGAGCTCTTGCTAAAAATGTGTATATTTCATACATTCTACTTGTGAAATATAGTAGGGGAAATATTTACGAGCACCATAAGATAGGAAGCTGAAACTGAAATCATTTCTAAATGAAAATTATGTGACAGTTTATCAGTATTTAATGCTAACATTGGTTGATGTGAGCATGAAGAATTTAGTAGCCATTTATCATAACTCTGTGTGTGGTTAGTTCTCTGATATACTTGCTTAGAGTAGAATGGTGTTTTAGTGGCAACATGAACCACAGCTTCAGTCTGAGATATTAAATAAATGGAAATGCCAAAAGAGGATTTGTTTTTGTTGCTTGGATTGTGTGTGTGGTTGTTGTTTTTCACATTCCTGTTAAAAGTAGTCTCCCATACCTTGCATGGGTTGGTTTTTGATCCACACTCCCCTGAACTATGGCTGGGCTTCTGCACCAGATGCAGGTGTCCCCTTGTGCTGTCAGCCAGGAATGATTAATGAGGATTTGCCCCTACTGAAAGCAGTCTTTGGAGCATTGTTCAGGGCATCTGTGGAACTGTCGGGGGAGACAAGGACACAAGTGAACAACCAATTATTTGGCCATCACTGAGGCAGCATGAAAAAGACATCAAATTGGACAGAGAAGCAATGCTTTTGTTTGGAGATCTAATATTATTTTTTAGGTATTAATAGTAACACAAGACTTTTAGCTTGTTTTAAAAGAATTTTGGTTAGGTCTAGGCTCTTAACCAGAAGTAGAATGCTTTTTTCTTTAAAGCTAATTGAATTACTTGAAAGTAGTATAAAAGGAATAAAACACCACCAAATTGATTCCTAAGTGGTTGCCTATTGTATAAAGATATATCGTTTTGCACGGCTAACATTAGAAAACAAGGACTAACTATGTAACAGGAGGGAAGGAGGATCCTCCATGCAGAGTTCCTAATTGTTGGTCATAGTTGACAAGGGCGAGGGGTTTTACAAGTGATCAGAGGGTCAGAGACATTGCACTGGAATCCTGAAGCAGCAAAAAACAAAACAAACCCAAAGCTGGGAAACGTTTCCTAGCCTATGTGCAGCATTTGAGTGTTTCCTTATTTCTAGAGTGACGTATACCCTTAGGTCTTAGTAAGAAAATATTTTTCAGGCTGTTACATTCTCATACTAGGTCTGTGATTTAAATCAAAAAAATTTGAAAGGCTAAAAAACGTAATGTATTTCGAGCACAATTCCAATGCGGATTAAGAAGCCCTTTCTTCCAGTAAAGTAGTTTCTTTTATGCTCTGTCCTTTCAGGCCTGTTGTCTTTAGGGTATTAAGAATTAAAAGCTAAGCTCTGAAGCCACTAAAACCTTCAAGGAGCAGATAATGATGTTTTAATATATAAAAAGTAATGGTCAGTAACAACTTTAACAAATGTGGTCCATGCAACAGCTATAAAAAAATACTTATTTAGCATTTATTTTTTGCAGGTTAATACTTTTGTATTATCTTTTTTTTAATGACAAGAACTTCAGGAACAGAGTAATTAGAAATCACCTCAAGATAAAAACAGGGATCAAATGACTACATCTAAAACAAATGTCTGAGAAGAGATTGATTTTATAAGTGATTTCTGGGAGAGTGCATTGCTTTGTGGGTCTTAAATAATTTTCTCTTACACTTACAGTGGCCTAGCTGCTTACTGATTTATATTCACTTGGTCAGTTCTAGAATTACATAATATTCTGAATTTTTAAAGCCAATCAGAATCTCCCTTATCTTATTTTTCAAATGTAGACAGGGAATACATACTATCACTCGTATTTCAAAAATTGGCCCATTTAGATAGATGCATTTTTATATGAAGCGGGCAAATAGGCTAGGCCCAAATCATGACACCCATTTCAAGTTCTTATGACTAGCAGCTTTGACTTGAAATAGGCTGAAAAGATAAATCCAAACCAAATGGACACTAATACTGCCTCTTTTCAATGTCATGAAAACAGCAGTTTCAAACTGTGTCCCATTTACTACTCACATTTAAATCGCCTCAGTAAGAGAGGATAAGTCAATTGTTTTTTTATTAATAACCCTGTTTTTCAAAGTGTTAGCAGATTCCCTGGATTTGAGATAGTTCGAGAACATTAAATTTGCACTGGGTCTGTTGGCAGATGATACAATTTCTACGGATGGAGTATTATGTATTTTTTCCCATGCAAATTCTGCTTCAGGTTTTGAATCTTTTAAAATTACCTGTATTAACAGGAATTGACCTTCACTATAGAGATTTAGCTTCATCTCTTCCCTGTTTTTTTTCGTTAGTAACTCTTGTCTTCTGGATGCTATCATGTCATTGTCATTTAGTCATTACAATAATTTTAATTGACTTTGAGCCGAGGCAGCTTCTCAGGCAGGACTGCTCATTTCACTTCTGTTGTTTGTGAGCCTCTGATAATGGCCTTTGAGTATGGTGCTTCAAACATTTGGCCTTTGAAAATAGCATGTTTTCCTAAAATTTTTATAGTAAGTATATCATAAGCAAAGCTAATGGTAAAGTTGCATCCTATTTCTTGCTTCTCTTTATCTACAATATCTACTCTAAGATTTGATTGGTGTGCCATGATTTTTTTTTCTTGTCATACTCAGGGTTTCTAATAGCTCTCAATTTTCTACAAGTTTGCTTGTAGAATTTTTATTTGAATGTTTGCTTCAGTTTCCTTTTGGAGTATTGACATTAAGCTATACTAGGTCAAACTTCCCTGGATTATTTTCTTTTTTTAAGAAAAAGATAATTGTAATTACCAATATAGGCATTTGGTTAAGAATCTGGGGTTGGAAGATTCAAAACTTCTTATTTTAAGGAATTCCAAGCAAATTTCTAGTATTAACTCTGAGATTTGGAAATGTGAGTTTGCAATATTGTTTAGGCCAGAAGAATCACTCAAAGAGAAACAGAATTATCAATATTTTCTTCACAGATGAGGGGCAGTTAGGGTTGTCAGGTAACATACATGATACCTAGTTAAATTTGAAATCAGATAAACAATGAATCAATTTTTAGTATATCTTAAATATTGCATGGGATATAATTATATTAAAAATTCATCCAATGTTTATGTGAAATTCAACTTTGAGTATCCTGAGTCCTGGTTTTTGGTTTCCAAATCTTGCAAACCTAGATAAGACCAAAACATTAAGAAGTGAGTGACTATAACCTGGATAGCAATCTAGAGATTTGGTCATATGGGTTCTGTCCCAGAATTTCATATGACAGTGAGCCAAGTTTTTTTTTTTTCTGCACTGGTAATAAGTCTCCAACTAGTTTATTGAAATATTGTGTAGATAATTTTAACTTAAACAAATATAGCTTAAACACTCAGAATTTTTTGACAGCAAGTCACATATAAGTAAAAGGAGGTAGAGTGATACCCCAAAGACCAATTAAAGGTCTTTTGAGACTGGCAAATTCAACCTACTTGAATTGAGACACAGACCTGCCATCTACAAGAGAACTAATGAAATGACTTCCATCATCTATAATGAATTGTATAAGAAAGAAAATATTTTATTCTTGACAGAGAATTGAACTTCCTTACGAAATGCAAAAGTTGAAAGGAAGGTTTGAAGTTCAAATAGGTTATAGGGAGAAAGGGGACAGGGATTTGAATGAAAATTGTCTAATTCAAATTTTGTGTGCAAAACTCAAATTAGGTAAGAAACATGTGACTTTAGGCTTTACAACTGGCATTGTCAGAGGAGTTGTCAGAGCCCAGGTGCCCAGCTTTGCCTTAATTACTTTTTCCCCCCCAAAGTATTGTTTTAAAACATTTGATGATATAGATGTTTAACTGTTGGACTATTATACTGTATTTTTTTTAATGAAAAAGAGTAAGTGGGATTCAGTGTCAAATTATTTTCTCAGAATTTTCCACTAGCAAATATAGGCTTATTTAAACCAGGGCTGTCCAATCTTTTGGCTTCCCTGGGCCACATTAGAAGAAGAAGAATTGTCGTGGGCCACACATAAAATATACTAATATTAACAATAGCTGATGAGCTAAAAAAAATCACAAAAAAACTCATAAGATTTTAAGAAAGTTTACAAATTTGTGTCGGACTGTATTCAAAGCTATGCTGGGCCGCATGTGGCCTGCAGGCCACAGGTTGGACCAGCTTGATTTAAACCTTTGCCAAATACTCTCATGATTATTGCACTCAGGTGTAAGCTATTAATATAGTATCCAATTGAGAGTGTGCTAGTAGCTGAAATGGCAAAGATGTATTTTATTTGTAAGGCATAAACATAAACAAGGAATTGATTAATTGGGCATACTTTCATAGATGTCATTAGATAATTCCTTTTTATTTCAATACATGAAATTTACATAGAACGAAAACCAAAATTTGTTATTTTTTATATGATAGGCAACCTAATTTGTAGCCCTCTTTTTCACTGCCACCCAAGAAATAGAAATATTGGAATAATATTCTTAGCCCCCAAGTTTTATTTTGCATTTTTATTGTTGCATGTGGTAAACACAGAAGAATACATTAAAACAGTTGACACATTTTTGCCCTATTGTTAGCATAAGTGTAAAATGAGATGTTTTCAAAAATCAATCATCATGTATTTATTGATTTCCTATTGTAAAGTATTATAATACAAGTAATATAGGCTGTTAGGCTATATGCTATTTTTAAAGTATTTACCTACACTTCTCTCTCTCTCTCTCTCTCTCTCTCTCTCTCTGTCTCTATTTGACCTATCTAAGATAGAAAGAGAGAGAGGGAGAGAGAGAGAGAGAAGTGTAGGTAAATATTTTAAAGATACCTTATCTAAGATAGATAGAAGTGCAGGTAAATATTTATAAATATATATATATATGTAGAAGGGTCAACTCAATTTACCAATAAGTACAAAGAAAATATTAGTAAGTACAAATGCACTAAAATAAACTGAATTCATGAAGAAAATTATATCCATCAGATTAAAAATCCCTTATTATTCTGACAGTTCTACCTACATACTTATCTGCATTCTCATTCTTATTTCCTCCTTTCTTCCTTTACAACTGAATAAATGTCTCCTCTCCTTTCTGGGCCAAGCTCTTGACTTGGGCCCTGAATTCCTTCTTTTTCTGCCTTCTCAGGGCTTTTGCAATAGGGGTTGTCCTTTCTGTTTCCTTTACCTTCAACCTTTCTCCACCAACTCCTTCCCGTGAGTTCTCAGATACACTCACATTCCTGCTATCTTAAAATCAACAGTTTCTTCATGAACTCCCCTCTCCAGCTATTGCTTAGTTTCTTTCTCCTAAAAGCCACAATTTTGGAAAAAGGTGTCTACATTTTCCCTTTGTACTTAGTCTTTTATTTCTGTGCTCAGGACCCAAATGAGAATCTCGTTTCACTGAGGTCACACAGCACTTCCGTGGGGCTAATTCCAATGAATATTTTTAACCTTCATATTAGTTGCCTGTGAATGGATTTTGATCTACATTACCACATTTTTTTGCCTTTTATTTTATTTTATTTTATTATTATTATACTTTAAGTTTTAGGGTACATGTGCACAATGTGCAGGTTTGTTACATCGGTATGCATGTGCTGGCTTTGAAAACATACAACCTCCTGGTATTTTTTCTCCCTCTCTCAGTCTTCTTTTCCTTTGCCCAGGCTTTAAATGTTGATGTTCTTCAGGATTCTGGCTTGGGGACTCTTCTCACTCCACACTCTTGGGGATTCTCATCCACTCTTCAGCACTGAGGTACAACTTCAGACCGAGGACTTATGTTAGTTTCTCTATTTCAGACCTCTCTGCTGAGTTCCATTTCTAGAAATACAATGTATTTCTGGACATCTTCACTTGATTGTCTTTCAGACATCTCAAACACACACTGTGTGAAACTTATCTTCTTTCCTAAATTGCTTGAACAGCCTTTTAAACTGACTCCCAGACCACAGCCTTGCCACCCTCCAATCTGCTCTCCACACATCAGCCACAGTAATCAAACTCAAGTCTTTTCATATTGCTTCTTTGATCTGCCTGCATATAATCCATCACTGACTTGCTATTCCCAAAGTCTAAATTCGTTAAGGTTTCCCAGGCCTTCTGAGATCTGTTCCCCATTCTTTGTAAGCTTCATCTTTTCCCTTCTCTCTCACACATTCTAGGGTAAAAATATACTGAACAATTTATTTTTCTGTTCCTCAGGTACACTCCCCTATTTTTTATCCACTTGCTTGTCATACATGGAATTATCTCTGCCAAGAACACCCTTCCTTCCTTTTTGTCTTGATCTACCTTTAGATCCCATTTCAGTTGTGCTATTCCTTTCCTCTGAAAGTTTTCCTGGTATCCCCATCCGCCCAGACTAGATTAGACATTTTAAGTGTGTGCTCCTGTGTCTACTTATATTTTCTCATTGTAACACTTGGAGACATTTTACTATAACTTTCTCATTGTCTGCATTTTAAGGTACTGCAACTCAGGCAGCACAATTTCTGAAGTCTCGGGTGCTAAACTAAAATTTTCCCAGAGACCAAAAATAATGTGAAATCCAATATAATTAAGACTGCGTAACAGTTCTCTGAATTGGCCACATTATGCAATTCATGTATTTATTCATAAAAATATTTATTTAGGATACTATAGAAGTGGTTAAGAGGGCAGACTCTGAGGCTAAGCTAGATTGCTTGGGTTCAAATCTCAGCCCTACATGCATGATTTACGATCAAGTTGATTAAGTTCCTTATTCAGAAATTAGGAATCAAAATAGTACTTACTTTATAGGATTATTGTATTAAATTATGTATTACATATAAAGTGCTTAGGACACTACCTGGATAATAGTAAGCACTGTGCAAGTGCTGAGCACGGCTAGTTCAAAGGTTTTTAGGGGCCAACACTAATACTACCTGCCATCATAGAACTTACAGATAGTGTAGGAGAAACACATTAAAAAAAAAAGATTTCTTACCTCTCTCTCTGGGAAGCTCTAACATGCTCTTTATTCTTACCATACCCACAGCTTGTGATATCTGGGGTCTTTCCCGTACATTTAAAGTAGAATTGTATCATTTCACTTAGAAATATTTTCAGACACAGAACCATTTTAACTCCAGAGTTCTGGGAAATCCTTAGCTTTTCACAAATTTGCCTCATAGCTAATTCATAAATTCTCTAAAGGAGGAGGATCCACTTTAAGGAAATTCTTTCCACTTGGTCTTTCCTTTGGAAGTAACAATCTACCATGATTTTCTCTGTGGCATTCTTCAGCCCAGAGCTCCCAGCAGTTTATGCTGTACCTGTGTGCAAATTAAAATAAAATGTTTTATCTCTCTCTCTCTCTAGCTGGAAGAATATAAAAGGTTACCCCTCTGTGCAAGAGCACCATCCTAGGCATACAAACTCAGGAAAATATCAAGAAAAAAGTGTGACCCCATGGGGGCACACTGGCAGCTTCAGGGAGCACATCTCTGTGAGAAGATGTGGGCTGGCCTTCACTGCTACTGTGCCCTCTTAACAGAATGCTCTTATGCAGAGCACAAAATGCCCACTGTATCCAGCCAGCTGTGCTTCACACAGTGGACCTGTTTGCTTCCTAGGCTTCCTGTGACCTACACTTCTCCTTGCCTGTCCAGGATCAACTCCAGAAGTAGCTTGCTATGCTTTAGGTATTTTCTCAGGTCCCTCTAATGCCTTTCTATGTGTCATATTTTCAGAGCTCTGCCCTTTGCTTTCCAAGGTGACAGCCTTGGTCCATTCTATCTAGCAGAGCAGGAGGCTCCAGAACATTTTACATTAGTCCAAGGAGGTAAGTAACTACAATGTTAGACATTTAAGACAGGCTTTCTAGTGATTCTTATTGCTGATGCTATGCAGGATAAAGTTAATTTTTCAAAGTCTCAACTGAAGTATCCAGAATTCTCCAGATCTTGAGCCTCCCATGCTGGGTAAAGGAAGATGAACTTGGTACATCAGCATTGATGTGTAAACACCTAAAGGCAATAGGGAGTAGAATCAAGAAATATATTCTGTGTGTAGACTGTGTTTGACTTGGAAAATAACAGTAAAACAGTACTTTTAAGTATATTTATGTATAATTTATAATATAAGGTATTTTCATATGCTTTATCTTCTTTAAGTGTTCAAATTAATGCTGTGAGGCAAATCAGGCAGTATATAATGCACAGGTTTTATGTTTTTTTAAATAAAACATGTGGATTGGCCCATCAAATAGAAAAACTATGAGATTTAACTTGTCACCAAACATTGAAGGGAGGAAGAAATTAATTCTAGGAGAATTTTAAATTGTAATAATTATTTATTTTTATTCACCAGAACTTACTTTCTAAAAATTTAAATAAATGTCCCAAAGGCAAGACAATTTATATTTGGGCACCCCAACAAAACACATCCATTTAAAGCAAAAAAAAAAAAAAATCAAGTTGTGATAATATTTCACTTTAGAGCAGTAATATTGGCCCTGTCTTGTCTAGTTATGAATCAGAGCTAATGAGGGATATGAACACAGAACTAACACTGTAAATCAAACTTTAAAAAGCTGCTTTGTCATCTTGTTGACAGCAGTTATTAATGATTCGAGGGCCTCTATTTTAGTAAAAAATAGGGTCTGTCTTTCTGGCTTTAAATGAACATTAGCACCTTACAAGAGGTTGGACATGACTCTTACCACAATAGGTAATTGCAGCTAACAGCTGCATTTGAGTTTTCATTGTGCACTCTTTTTGAGAAGATTTCCTAGTGATAGTTCAGTTCATGCAGAAAGTTAGCAAGCATTTTCAACCTGAGAGCTATTTATATAAATTTTAAAACAATATACACGAGAATAGTTTAGTAGCTCTTAAGTTTTAGGCACACATAAAAATAGAAATTAGGTGTCTTAAGGACATTTCTGTAATGCACTCATCTCCATTTTTTAAAGTAATTTATTATAAACGTCTTTCTTCTGCTTTTCCTTTTTGTTTTTAAAGGTGAAAGCAGTAGCGAAATAATTGACAGGTGCTACTGAGAATCTCCAGAAAATATATCTTGATCTGGATTATTGTGGAATCTTAAAACAAAATTTTCTAACATAATTGTAAACCATATTGTATTTTTGAGTGCAAAGGGCTAAGCACAGAAAGTGATCATAAACATTGCCTAGGTTATTCAATGTTCCAGGATTCTGAGGGTTGTGAGAAATGTTCAGAATGTTATCTCAGCTTTTGCATTTCTTTATAAAATGTAAGAAAACCATCCCCAAATGTTGGTGGTTGAGACTTCCATACAATTCTAAAAATCTTTGGAAATTGTTTTTTGTCTAACTAGTAATGCATATATTCCTCACCATGTTGTTGCCAGAATCATAAATTCTTTTATCTAGAAGCAAATGATTTTTATTTTTAGAAAAAAAGTATAAATTATGGACAAATTGAGTAAGAATGTCCTACTATTCGTATAGAGTTATATTTATACTAATCTTTCCCTTATAGCTTTTGCCCTTGTGTAAGTCATTTATCTAAAGAATCTCCTGAGCTTGCTTGCAATGTTGGTTAAGAAGTATTGACCATGAAGAATCTGAGTTCTAAACTCTGAGATGAGTTACACTTGTCTCAGAGTCAGAGACCCAGACAGAAAGGTGACTGTTGAGAGGCGGGCCAGGCATTTTCTTCCTCCTCACCGCCTCTTAACCTCATGTCCTCAAGGAGGAGTTCTGAGACCGCCGATAATCATCATAGCTCATGGGTCCAAGCCTTCCTACTGCAAGGAATTCTCATTATTTCAAGGGCTTTTTAATCAGTAAACAGTAGAAGACAATTACTGTATAGATCGGTTTAATTAGTTTATTTGATGCCCAGAGCATGTAAGTTTGCAACCAGGTTGTTTCTGCTAGCTATAGAATCATAAATTAATGGCAATGTTCTGGGCTGAAAAGATGATGCTCTGTGAGTGCTAACATGCTGGTACAGTCCTAATGGATTAGGAAGAGGATTGGTATACATGGAGCCTTTTACTAAAACAGGCCTCTCATGTCTTCATATCATCAACCATAATTTATTTTTTACCATCTCTTACTAGCATATTTCTAGTTTTCCATTAAATGACCTGAGGATACTGAGATATAGAGCTACCAAAAATCTGTATATTTAATATATTGAATCAAAATTTATTTATTCTCTATATTGTTTCTATCTTCTGTAGAACAATCTATATCAAATTATATATGTATAAAATTATGTATATAAAATAATTTCTGAGGATATAAGGACCTTGTATTTGAAAAGATGTTTTAATATTTTCTAGTAGGCATATTTTAGTGGCTCTAAATTATGTTTTCAAATTGTTGATTCAGTGCAACATCTCACTTTTTTAATCATTGTCATTTTTTTACTTGCTCCCCCAATCATGAAGCAAAGAAAACATGCATTTTCTCCTTCAGAAAATGCTACCCTTCCACAAATGCAAATTAGTTTGAGATAAAACAAACAAAAAAGAAACAGAAAGAAACAAAGAAAGAAAATCTTTAAAGCCTTTGACTGGTTACTTGAGCATTGTTCAGTAAGTAGACATAGTCACTATTCCCACCATGATTTTTAGAAGTTGTGACAAGAGCCATCCACATTCTTTTGTACATGACCAGTGGCACATTTGTGAGATGACCAGCGGCGGTTGGGGCTGTGTCTAGGAGCAGTTTTCTTTTTGTGAAGTTAATGGGCACATATGGGGATTGAACAAGCTTTACCATTCTTTCAGCTCCTCCTTCTTCCCTGGTCATGGATTTGAAAAATTGCCATTGAGACTGCAGTCAATGATCTTCTCCTTTCTGTTTTATGTAATTAATTGCCATTAATAGAAGATACCAGTCATGAGATAAATTTGGTTGAAGATGAGGTTAGACAATGAGACCTTGACTGATAATTTAAAATTTTAATTTTCTTTTCTTTTTTTTTTTTAAATTTGCTCCTTACCCCCTACATCATCTCCTACATCTTCCTAACTATCCTATGTGGTGTCCTCACTGATCTGATTGATGTTGGCCAGTATGAAAATAGTTTTTGTGGGACTATAGCCTGTTTACAATAAAAAGTAACACAATTAACTTAATTCTATAGCTTCTGAAACTGAGGTAAAAGTCATACTGAAATTCTGAATGCTTCATGGTAAACATACCTGAAAAGCCTGCTTCTACTGGATCTTCTCTTTCTTTTTGACTCTTAGTTTCAATGAAAAATGAAGAGCTTCTACTTATTGTAGAAGTCTTGATAATTTAGAACAATAAATAACAGTATGGAAGCAATTGACAGACAATTGTTTTCACAATGCTAACCAGGGTTTCCAAGTTGAACTATTTAACCCCAAATTTAAACAAAGCAGGCGTCTTTGTTTTAAGTGATAACACCTGTGCACAACCTGATGCCTGGTTGGACTAATAATTAGAAATAATATAGCAATTATTTATTGAATGCTTACCATGTGCTATTCATTGTACCCCAAATTTTAGTGTGTTATCTCATTAATTCTCATAGCAACACTATAAGGTAGATTTTTTTCCCCATTATAGATTAGAGAACCAAGTTTAGAATAGTTAATGTCAGGGTTAACTTACCTAAGGCCATGCAGTTAGTAACTAGAAGACTAAGTCTTTCTGACCCCAAAATCCCTTTGCCCATGTGCTTTTTTTGCTTGACTTCTTTGTTCCTTAGATAATCTTATTTTATTTATTTTTAAATAATAATAATATGGACTCAGTAAGATTATGTAGGGCACTGTATAGGTAGGAAACTGTTTAAACACGTATTTATATATAAAATGATAGAGCTGAATTTGATTATCCTCACACATCTATTAGTCTATAAATTGATGTCAAGAAATAGAGAATTTCAGCCAAGCAGGAATTTCTCTGAGAGAGGTTTGGTAATATTCATGGAGTCTAAAAAAAGGGGGAAAGAAACCAGGTTGGCAAACAAACAATAAAGGGACTAAAAAGGGGTGCCTTTTCTATGTAAAATCAAGAAATTAGAAAACTTCCTATTTTAACACATTATTAAAAATCACTTATTTTCTCATGATTTTCATTATAACAAAAAATCAAATCCAGAATCCTTTAGCAGGCATTCAGGATGCAGGGCCTCCTGATGCCAGAGTTAATAGCTTGTGATGAGAAACTGGCTGCCATGATCATATGTGGTTTGTGGGATCAGAAGTATGTTTGGTGTACTCATTTTCTAAATTAAATCTGTCCGGTCTGGATATCAGAAAGTAGGTTATCATTGATAATTCATTATCATACGTCTCAAATGATATTCCATGGAAGCCTTGGCCTTTTAAGATAGATAACAAAATAGTAGTAAATATTATCATTAGGTAAAAAAGGGGACGGCTCTGTGCCTTGGATATCTGTAGTAGGACCATTATCATTGTAGGAATGTGTTGAGAGAAGCTATTGGCATGCTAAAAATACACTACTTTAATAATAATCCATGCATAAAGGACCAAGAGAGAAGATATGGCAGAGAACTAATGAATTCTGGATCTTTTCCATATTTACCATTTCCACCAAAAAAATTAAATGCCGAATATTAAATTATAATGTTTAAACATAAAAAGTGAAATCTGTAATGTTAAAATGAACTTGAATCATGTAAATGTTAAATTTTTATTTAAAATGCGTCTCATTTTATTTATATTCAAAACAGATGCATGATTTTAAATACAGGGCGGTTGTAATATTCTAAGCACATATTTTAGGGACTTCCTCCCTTTTCCAAATCTCACTCAAGTGGAACATACACTCATTTCTGTAACAAAAATTCTTTCTACTCTATTGGCAAAATGAATAGCATCAACTCAAAATATTTAAAAATTTAGTCACATCCACATCCTGCAGCCTATAAGGAGCTTTCACGCTTTTGGGCTCGCTTTAGATCTTTAATACCCTTTCCTTTTGTGTCAAGGAGCTCACGAGGCGTAAAGAAGCACTGATAAACCCACTTAGATCCCTTCCTGGGCCGTCACCTCTCGCTGCCAAGCGGCTTTAGGTGGTAACTGATCTGTGACAGGCTGCCAGTCAAACAGAGCATTTCTGAAAGCTGACACAAAAGACTGAACGCTGGAGAATGGATAGGAAAAATAAGAAAAGGACCCAAACTGTATCAGTGCCCCCCACTCATCTCGGTCTGTTCCTCTTCGCTACCGCCCCCACCCTCTGGCCCACCCCTACCCTCCCTAACCTTTTTTGGTTGGTTTTTCTCTCTTTTCTTTTCTCATCCTCTTCCCTCCCAACCGCCCGCCTCCTCCCTCCCCCAGTTCCCTTTCCCAGAGCACAGCCTTTCCCCCCTGCTCTCTCTGGCTGGCTCCTTCTTAGTCAGGTTCATGGCAGGGGCAGCGTAGAGTGGAGAGATAGAGATCAGCAGCCCTTCCAAGCGGGGACTGCCCCAGTGCACTGCTGATAATAGAGGCAGAAGTGAGAGTGACAGTCAGATGGAAACTGACACAGGCCTTCTGTCAATGCCGCAGCTGCCCGTGGGACTGAGGAGGAAAGAGAGAGAGAGGGAGGGAGGGAGTTGAGCTGAAATGTCAGTGCCGATAACTGCACCAGCTCGCTATTTTTCTATGTAGGTGTCGTTCTATTCCACATGTGAGGCAAGGTTTTTTCCAACTCCGCAGCGCTTGCTGTTTCTTCTTGGCTGCTGTGAGTGTGTGAAGGAGCAGCTTACTTGGTGAAATCCTCACTTAATTTCTTCTGGTGCTGTGGAGCCCCGTTGTGTGATTGTGTTTGACAGTTTTTGTTCTCACAGCCTTTTGAGCATTTTAAAGATTGATAAATCTTGTCATATGAGAACCCCGAATGATGCCCGAATATTTCACATTCTTACAGCTGTAGATCGTTTCTGTATTTTCCTACATTAAAATAAGGCAAGAAAATATTAACTGAGAAATATGGGCAGTGACTCATTTTTCTGCCCAGGAGAAGGTTATGCTGAAAATGTCCCCAACAACAGACTTTTTATCTTGACTTTGGGACCTCTCTGGAGAGAACTTTAGGGTAGCTCTTCTTGTGTAATTAATTGTTTTCTTGAATTTTAAGAGTCGTAGTGGTACCATTGTTTATCAATAGATCCCATATTTCTATTTCTGAAGGTGAACTATTTTTAAATAAAATGACCAAAATGTATCTCTCTTTCTCTCTCTCTCTTTCTCTCTCTCTCTCTCTCTCTCTCTCACACACACACACACACACACCACACACGAAATAAAATAACAGTGACTGATGGTAACTATAGTTTCAGTTATACAACAAAGTGATAAAATCCATGAAGATACTTCAGTTCTGCTGAATCTCTACTTAACATCTCCAGTGGTTCAGAATCTCTACAAGGCTAGTAGCAGCTTAAAGTTTGAAGGATTTTTGTAACCCAAAAAATCAGGATCACCTGACATTTTACCCTGAGCTCAGTCCATTACAAATCATTTCTTCTTTTCTTTTTGAGAAAGTTACCAGCTGGGATCTTCTTTCTTGGCTATACTAAGGGCAAACCAAAAATCTGCACTAAAAGGGATGGGTGCAGATGAACTCATTTCACTATTGCGTATTTAAATAAAGGTAAGTGATAATAAACATGTTAGGTGATAGGTGATATAAAGATTATTATCCTGACAATCACCTCTTTCTAGGATGTTGCATTATGGAAGCATTGTGAGACACAGACACACACACACACACACACACACACACACGAGGGAGGGAGGAAGCAAGGGAGAGAGAAGATATCCCATGGGGGAATATTGATTATTTTTAATAGCCTGATTTAGCTTCTCAATTTAGTTTTTATGTCTTTTTCCTCTTAAGTAGATCTTTCAGGTGTATGTTTTATTCAAATTACAGTGCACCAAGGAGTATAGCTCAAGACAAAGTGAAATTATGTGGATTTAGAAAAAAAGGATCAAAATTATGGTTAGAAGAACTATATACATTTATAATTTTGCAGTACTGATATTTTATTTGATAGCATCTGTCAGAAACCATTAATCAAGTATCTGTATTTACATGGTGCTATACAACATTATGCAAATGGAGAGGCAAGAAAAGCAAGCCTAGGCTACCAGGGAGCTTTTTTCTCTAAGACATATAGAATTAACAAAGTTTTACACACAAGGCACAAAGACTAGAAGACAGCCACTAGCTAAGTGTATAAACTAAATTAACAATTGCATGCAAATAACATTCTATGCCAATGGGTCAGTGAAGAGAGTAGAGGGAACAGTTAGAATCATCATAGAAGTGTACGATGTAGAGAGAAGCAAGAAATGGGAAGGTTTTATGGACAAGATAAGATTTCAGGAGTTTCTTGAAATAAGGAGAAAAGGAGGAGTTATGAACCATTTCTTTCCATTCACAATAAATGCAGTCCTTTCTCAAGGATCTTTTCTCAATCCTTGGCCCTTGGCCTTTAACTTGCTTTTTGAAATGGAGATGACATCTCTGTTAGAGAGGTCAGAGTGAAAATTTTAGCCGTAAAGGCATCAGCACCAAACACTTATTGATGCATACTAAATGCTAAGTACTACTGTAGATGTCATTAAATTCATAACCTCCTCAGTCTTCCCAATGACGCTATGAGCTAAGTATTATTAACTTCATTTCACAGGAGAGGAAGGTAAGGCTAAGAGATGTGAAATACATATTCTCAGGAATATGTAAGTAATAGGGCATAACAGTCCTTCAACTCAGGCCATCATACCTCACATGTTTTGCTTTAATCATGACACATCCATACTTATCCAGTCTTCATGAGACTCCTGTGAGGTTGAGCAAAAGCAACTGTAATTATTTCAATGGTCTGCAAAGAACTCAAACTGTAGTTGAAAATTAGACCTTGCTACTAAGCTTCTTCAGTTTCCAGTAAGGCTTTGGATATTCCTTTATATAATGGTTCTATACAAACCATAATTGAGCAAACACTTGGAATCAGCTAGAAATATTAGGTGAAAGATATTTTTGGATCCCATTCAGAGTTTGTGATTCAAAGGTCTGGAATGTGTTCAAGAATTTACTTTTTTTTTTTTTTTTGAGACAGAGTCTCACTCTGTCAGCCAGGATGGAGTGCAGTGGCACCATCTTGGCTCACTGCAACCTCTGCCTCCTCTCACAGTGTGAGAGGACTAGTGTGAGAAAGCTGCTAATGAAAGAGCTGCTGAATGAAAGTACATTTCACCTGCCTACACCCACCCCCACCCGAGTGTTGTTTCAGCTATCTGCCCATCCACCCACTCCCCTCGGACCTCAGCATGGGCCTGGACCTGACCCTGAGCATGACATTTGGTGTAGTTGTGAACCTGACATAAAGATAAGGGATGTGTTGGGGATAGACAATGTGACTGAACCACAGAAACATCTTATGTAAAAATTTACTTGTCCCCTTAAGTAAAACAGATCAGTTAAACTAATAATATGTAGGCTAAAACCAAGGAGAAAATAAGCCTCCCCCTCTCTCCATTGCAATAGATATTCTGTACAGCACCATACTCTCTATGATGGGCAGCTGTAAGCAGTGACAATCAGGAACAAAGAGTTCATCTTGTTAAGACCACAGCTGCTACGGTGGACCCTGCAGAGAATCTCCTTGGATAATACTCTGCATCTCTACTTTCTTCTGGCTTTCCCTGGACAGATGTGTAGGAGTCCCATGAGTCTGGACCGTGGTCAAGGAACTGCTATTTATACTTCATTAATTATAAGCCATATCCAATACAAAGGGATAAATGCATATTATAGGGGTATTCTGCTATAGGGCCAACTATAGAAAATATGGGAATGACCAATTAATGCTGTTCTCATATTTTGAGTTTTTGGTTCACAACATGCAAATAAACAGTCTTGTTTTTCTTTTTAGAGCTTGGTGAACAGTGTGATTAATTGAATCAAACCACATGAGTGATCTTAGGAGAATTGGTATCAGCTGTGTGCAAATTAATCAAGCTAGGCTAAACGCTACTCTGCAGTTGATAAAACGTTTGTGGTTTACCTGAGAGGAATCAAGGAAGTAAGTGTAGTAAGAATCATGGTTTACAGAGAGATGGGGACCGTGACACTCTTAAACCTGGAATGGCTATAGCAATTGACAGAAGGCAACAACTGCAAGTTTATCTTGTCTCCAGATGAT
The DNA here is from genome assembly GCF_000001405.40 of Homo sapiens. Classification (NCBI taxonomy): domain Eukaryota; kingdom Metazoa; phylum Chordata; class Mammalia; order Primates; family Hominidae; genus Homo; species Homo sapiens. The sequence goes on from NC_000006.12 coordinate 97,673,069, forward strand.
CAGGGCACCTGTTCGTTTAACTATGGCATGTGAGAGGGTCCATTCATATAATGAATGAAACACTGTGGATGCACTCCTGGCCATTATCTCTATAAGAAACAAATCTCATTGTGATTTTGGAATTAATAGATTAATTAAATCTCATAATGCCAGAGGCCAATTTAATAGCATGAATGTAAATCTAGGGTATAGAAAACTAGGAAGAATCAGTGCACCTCTAGGCTTGTTTTTCACAGTTGAATTATTGATTTGGTCAAGATTCTCCAAAGTCTCAGTTGAAACAGTTATTTGCTCATAATAGATGTTCAATAAACATGAACGATTGATTGTCTTGATGACCTAAACCATATAAAGTTGATGCTTATAAACTAGTGTTTTCTGAGCCACACAGATTTCTTGCATGTTATTAGTTTTTTGCAGGAAAGCTTTATTTTTGTTCTTTTTTTTGGTAAATAAATAATCTGAAGGTAATTCAAAACATAGCTACAGAAGGGAAAGTGGCATTCTTAGATTTCATGGTAGCAACATCTATGTACAATATGTGTTTGTATCACATAATTATTTTTAGGTGTATATTTAGCTGTGGTACTCATAATTTTACATTTGTGAGAAAAGTATCATATAATCTTTAACAGTTAAAAAAATCATATTATTTTTGACTCTGGGATTTTGGAAAGAAACACTATTCCATTACAAGACTATTACATGTAATTAAAAAAAAAAAAGTCATAGATAATTAGAGCCCCTCACACTTCTGGTTCCTAGTGTTTCAGACATTTCTCTTTCTCCATGAGAAAAATATCCATGGGTAGGTTTTCATGCCTTCTCCAATAAGCATGGAATTATGATGTCAAAGAAATGTGAAATGGTAATAAATGAATATTAGATAATCAAAAATTTTATGGAGATTTATAATGATTGATTAGAGGAAAAAACAAAAGTACAGAAAATATGATATATATTTTTCTAAAAGGAATGGGTTTTCTAATGAACGAAATGTTTATTATCCTCAGAGTTTTTGGTCAGTCTTCAGTTAGCTTTGCAACCAATTTATATGTATTTAAAATGACTTTGTATTCTGCTTTTTCAGCAGTTTCAGGAAATTTTAGAGATTGTAAATCTTGCATAAAATAATAATCCTATATGAAACCCCATCTCTACTAAAAATACCAAAGATTGGCCAGGCATGGTGGCACGTGCCTGTAATCCCAGCTAGTTAGGGAGGCTAAGGCAGGAGAATCACTTGAACCCCAGAGATGAAGGTTGCAGTGAGCCAAGATTGTGCCACTGTACTCCAGGCTGGGCAACAAGAGCGAAACTCCATCTCAAAAAAAATTAAAAATCCTATCTGCAATATAACTTTGCCATGGTGGCAGGCACCTGTAATCCCAGCTACTTGGGAGGCTGAGGCAGGAGAATGGCCTGAACCTGGGAGGTGGAGGTTGCAGTGAGCCGAGATGGTGCCATTGCACTCCAGCCCAGGTGACAAGAGTGAAATTTCATCTCAAAAAAAAAAAATTGTAAAATTTAACACTTATTTTAGAAATACAGGCTCTAAATTTAACAATTAATAAAAATTAGGAGGTATTCTGGACTTGGGACTTCCTGTTCTACTTTCCTTTTATGGTTTCTGTTGAAATTTTCCTTTTGATTGTGTGTTGTTTTCCTGATTTTGTTTATTGTCTATCTGTATTCTCTCATAGCTCACTGAGCTTCTTTAAGAGGATTATTTTGAATTCTTTGTCAGGCAAAAAGTCTCTATTTTTTAGGGTCAGATACTGGTGCTTTATTTTGATACTTTGATGATGTCATGATTCCCTGATTGTTTGTGATTTTTGTGGCCATGCATTTGTGTGTGAGTACTGGAAGAAGTATGCACTTATTCCAGTCTTTGCAAACTGGCTTCAGTAGGGAAAGCCCTTCACACGTCAGGCCAGCAAGAGATTCTAGGCAGGCTGTCTGGCACGGTCTGGAGGCATACTTACTGTCATAATCCTCAGGCAGGCTAATCTAATCCCTGGATCAGCAGGCGAGTGGGTCTGGTACCTGGGTGTGTGGGATTGGGCCTGGAACCTGAGTCTGCTGTAATGGGATTAGAGCTTAGGTCTGCTAGAGCAGGCTTGAATCCTGGGCCCATGGGGCTAGTGCATCATTGAATCTACTGGCAAAGAGCTGTTGACTGAGTCCATGTGGGCCAGCTTGGTGCTTGGGCCACAAGGGTAGTCTTGGAGCCTTAGTCCACAGGTGCTGACTTGCCATTGGGTAGGTCTGGAGTCTGTGTTTGCAAAGGCCAGCCCAGCACTTGGGTCTACTGGGATGAGTTTTAACTCTGGGTCTGCTGGAATAGGCCTGGATCCTAGATTTGCTGGAGTATAGGCCCTTGGTGGCCAGGCTGGTGGCTGGGCCAGATGCTGACCTGAAGCTGGGGTAGACAGGTGCTGACCTGATGCTATGATGGGGCTGGATTCTGGTTCTGTGGGTACTGGCCTTGAGGCTGGGCCTATGACCTGGTGTTAGGCTGATCTGGAGCCTGGGGTAGGCCTGGAGCCTAAAGGAAATTCCTGTTCCACCAGAAACTATGAATTCCAATATATATTATCCTTAAGAAATTATATTATTTTCTCAAGTTTTTGCCTTCTTATGATAAATTCTGAAATTCAAATTTTACATTGTTAAGAAATTTTAATTTTGAAACTTGGTTAGTTCACTTCAATAGTTTTATTTATAAACCTCAAATAAATTTTTACTCTCATGAGTCAAGGTATTTATAAATGCTTACTTTAAGCCACTTTTTTAGACAAAAAATATTCGTAGGAAAGGTGAGATATAGGCTGCATCTGTAGGGCAATAGACTCAACTCTTGATAAAATAAAATAAAATAAAATAAAATAAAACAAATTTACAAACCAATATATCCAGTCTCATACACGGGAAATTAAGAAAGAGATTTGTTGTCATCTGAAGAGGTATGACAGCAGTTTTATATAATTTTGGCTGTGACCAAATAAATAATTAAACTGGATTTGGCACTTAAGTTTGTCAGTTCAAATCCAGAGAATTATACTTATTCACTCATATTTTCTATACCTCATATAGGTGTAGAAAATGGCTACTGGTGTTCCTAAATTGGTTCCTGGCATGAAAATATTTATCCACAAACATTTAAAATCTCATACAAAGGAGTGAGAATGCATTAAGAAGTCAAGCAATGTCATCCATCATTATGCCACCAATTGGTCTGTCTATCATAGTTTGTCATTTGATAAAAGTATGGAGCAGCAATTATTAGATCCGTTCATAGTTGTACGGGATGCCTCATGTTTGTTTTCAGCGGTTTGTCTTGATATTGTGGTCACATTGTTTTCCTGAAGTAGAATTTGTAGTTTCTGGTAGAGCAGAAAGTCCCAAGTCCAGGATTTCTCCAGCTCTCATCCTTTGTACTACTGTGCAATGCTGCCCAGTAAACCACAGAAGCCATGTGGTTCACTTGTTTAGAATTACATCTTTTTTTGTTGTTGTTGTTGTTTTATACTGAATTTTAGTTTTCTTTTTATTTTATTTTATTATTATTATACTTTAAGTTTTAGGGTACATGTGCACAACGTCTTTTTAATTAACTTTTGGATTAAACTAAAAGGTTTTGAGGAAGGATACTTCAGATTTGTCAGAATGTGATTTGTTTGGGTGCAATCATCAGTTTTTAATATCCTGATACTCGAATTTAGTCAGTTTATTGTCTTTGAATATTACAGTCCCCAAACTGATATCCCTGTTTTCAGTTTTGTCTCTCTTCTACTCAACTGCTGGTGCCTGTGTCAGCCTTTCTGGTATTATTTCTTATCCCTCTCTGTCTTGTAAATTATTCTTTAAGACTCTAGAATTCATTGTAGTTTCCATATTTACATGATCCTATTGTCTCTGTGACTTTGTTCATGGTGCCGCCTTTTAGTAGGAAAATCTTTCCCTTTCTCTTTACCTGATTACTCATACCTTTTAAAACTCTGTCTAGGCCCACTCCAGAAATCTTTCCAGATAAATCATCTGTCCCTGACCTGGATGGCTGTCCTTGGTGCTTTTATAATAACTGCTGGAGTTCAAGGCCTGCCACTAACTCCCTCTTTCCTCTGGGCTTCCTTTCAAAGCTAATCTGTTGAAGAATAAAGTCTAATGAGGAAGAAAGGAACAATGTACTAATTCCTATATGTGTGCCTAATCATCCCTACTATGTGGGAAATTGGATTGGTGAACATGATTTAGGCTTTCTTAATTCTAACTACCTATGTATCTCTTTTACCCCTGTTGAGTAAGTGAGCCAGTAAGGACCACCTTTTTCTTTTCCAGTTCCATCTACATCTGCCCATCCATACCACTATTAGGGATATTTGGATTCCTAGATTAAAGAAAAGGGAGTTAGGATCAGAAGACCTCACTTATACATCTTTATCCAAATGTCATTCTCAAGTCCAGTTTTATTCAATAGCGGAGCCTCACTAGCTGACTTGAAAGGCTAGTCTTTATCCAGAGGCCATTCATTCAACAAAAGTGTTTGAGGATTGTCTATGCTTCGGTATCTTCTGTTCTAGACACTGGAGATATGACAGTGGAAAACTAGAAACTAGGGGCCTCCCTTCCCACTCTCATTGGTCTGGGGTTTAGAAGGGATCTGTGATGCTTGAGGTGTTTCATAATCTGCAGTTAATATGTGTGTCCTGTGTAACTGCTGAATCTCTCTAGATGCTGACTTCTGTTTTTAGTAACCCCCATAGCTACACACTTCTCTCTCCACGGCCTATCATGGCAATCATTGCAAATAGAGAAGTGTCAAGTATGCTTAGCAATATATAGTACATGGTATCTGTTCTTGTTTTGTTTAAGTAATTGTATTTGACATAAATTTTTAAAAAAGATAATATAGTTGAGAAAAAGAAAAACATTGAATTTTTAAAAAACCCACAATCCAGTTATAACCACTGGTAATATTTTATGATGAGGTCCCAAAATGTGAGTGATCTGCTCAAGATGAAAAAGTTTTTGGAATTGAATGGTTTTTATATAACATCAAACTTTAGGTTGGCAATGATTGTTATAATGATAATGATATCAAAATAGCAAGTATTTATTGTACATCTGCTACATGTCAGTTTAGTACACTGTGTACTCATTTAAACCTCACAACATGCTTTTAAGGTAGACATTATTATCCCCATTTTATAGATATAGAAATAGACTCAAAAGAATTATAAATATATATTTCTTGAACATAGCTTTATTTTCAAATGTAACTTTTGAGGAGACATATGCAAGTACACATAATTCATCTAAATTCAGAATGACTTCCAAAGGTCACAGGATGGTTGGAAAGAAATCTCAAGATTATTTTAAAGTAATAGCCCAAGAAGAGTTTAAAAGAAATAAATAATCTTCTTTGATGGCTAGAACAATTCTTCATGTCAGAAAATCCCAGGTTGGGAGAAATAACAGCTAGAGCGATTTAACATACGAATTTGAAGGGATAGATTGTTGTTCTGCTGTGAGTAGGTCCTTTATATTTTAAAAGTTGTGATGTTTTTATTTAGAAAATAAATTGGATTTCTAGGCATGTATGGTATATACCACGATTTAAAATTATTGGGCTTTCTTCGTGTTTTTAAGTTTTTCAGTCTGAAAGAACAAGGCTTTCCTACAAATACGAGGCAAATTGCTCTGAGTCATGCTGGTCGATCACCTCTGAATGGAAATGCTCACAGGAGTGCTAAAGTGTCCTCATAATTTTACAGCCTCTCTGAATCGTCTTGCTAGAACCCCAATCATTATCAAATTGAAGGACCTTCATAATTTTGAAATTTTATGAGCAATAAAAAATGATTTTAGTATTTTATGTTTCTATTTTTATATAATTTTTAAAGAAAATAACCCACACCCAAGTCTGTCTCCTAATGTGATATGTGATTTACAACTTCATTTGTGTATATCAAGTCAAATTAGTTTTGAAAAACAAATAAAGTACTTTTATTTGTAATGCATCTTCCAGAAAGTTAAAAAAAAGGATTAGTCAAAAGTCTATCTTGATTTTTGTTGGTTGAAACAGACAAAACCTCGACGTTAAATTACAATTTTACAAATGATCTTTATGAAGTAGTGGGACTCAGTGCCACATATAACAATGTGTCAAAAGAGAGACATAGATCTTTTAGTGTTGGTCCTAAGTGATTGAAATGGAGAAAAGCTAGTATAGCTACAATTTCCATAGCCTTTTTCTTTGCTGCAGAATTATTCAGGAAAACAATGTGGGCTCATTTATATCCAGTGACCTTACTGTATGTCCTGGAGATATCATAGTTATCTTGTGCTATTAAGCTTTCTTTAGAAAATGTAAGATTAATATTAGTTTAATTGAAAGATTGAACAGAAACACTGACATCCATTCAACCAAATCATTAAATTCAACACTTTATATGGACACAAAGAACATCTAATTTATCCAATTAAAACAATTTCTGTGCCCTTCAAAGGTATATTGCCATAACAAAAGATGAACTAGTTTTTAACAATGCTACACACTCTGTCCTCTTATGATGACTTTAACAGAAAAGAAGTATTTTATTTGGTGGACTAGGTAACTTGGATCCTAGGCCTAAGCATCATAAAATAAAAAGGAAAATAATAGAGTCTCCTTTAATCATGCTCCTGCTTGAAATTTTGGCAAATAAATGTATTTACTTTATTTTGGGTTCCACATGAATTATTTTATTGGCAGGTTTATTTATTAATTATCCAGAGCAATGGTTTTGAGAAGCTCAAGCAAGCCTATTGAATAATAGATAATGTAGCCTTCCCAATAAGTCCACCAGGGATATTCAAGTTATTCCTGACAATAAAAAAAAACGGTTCTAAAACAGAGGCAACTTATGAAAAATATCTGAAACTTGAATTCGAGTGGATGGCAACGTAAAATAATGTTGCCGTTTTTCATGGGGCAAGGGGCTTCATGATCACAATAAAGATGGTATGGACTTAAGGGAATGCTAACTTAAAATATCATAGCAGCAAGTTCATTAATCTTATTTTGGAAATAAACTGAAGATAGTGTAGTTGGATAAAATTTAAGCCTGAGAAAATTAAACATGTTTTTGCAACCAAATAATCAAGATACATTTATGTTTTTTGATCCAGATGAGTTAAATCCCAGAACACTGATGAGATTTATGGGTAATAGTATTGTAGAAAAAAGAAATGACAGAAGATTGGAGTTCAATTTTTTTGGAGTTCCATTTTTTTAAACAAAAAAATTTTCAAAATAGAAAAGAAAGCAACTGTACAAACTATAGATCAGTGATCTACATTTTGACCTAAAGGCATTCTGTCTTATAATATCTAAAATAATTTTATAATTATTACTAATTTTGCTATGTTCCCTAGACAGGTCAACAAATAAATATGGTAGAATTAGTGTAATTAAATGTCCAACAAGGTATTTGAGAGTGTATGATGCCAAATTATTAAACAGTCTGGAGACATATAGGTTATGTGATAACATAGGCAAACAGGTTAGTAACTTATTGATTGAGTGATTATATCCTAAATATTCTTCTTCTTTTTTTTTTTTTTTTTTTTGAGACTGGGTCTCACTCTGTCACCAAGGCTGGAGTGCAGTAGTGTGATCACTGCTTACTGCAACCACTGCCTCCTGGCCTCAAAAGAGTCTCCTGCCTCAGCTTCCCTAATAGCTGGGAGTACAGACGTATGCCTACAGACATATGCCATCATACCTGGCTAATTAAAAAAAAAAAAGTTATTTGTAGAGATAAGGTCCCACTATGTTGCCCAGGCTGGTCTCTAACTCCTGGGCTTAAGCAATCCTCCTGCCTCGGCCTCCCAAAGTGCTGGAATCACAGGCATGAGCCACTGTGTCCAGCCCCAAATATTATTCTTAATGAACTGATGTCTGTAAGAAATGTGATCCCTGATAGTGTGTTTTGAGTTCCATCCTTGGCCATCCCTTGTTCAATATCTTTATTAATGATTTGGACGAGGATGATAAATGGCATGATAGTCACTTTTTAAAGATGATTTTTAAGGTTTCTGTGTTACCACAGAATAGCCTGATTCATGGGGAGTCATATCTCACTGGTAACTCGTGAGTGAGTTATGCCAGTAACATGAAGGTAGAATAAGAAGTAAGTTCTACAAACAATTTATTATTGCCTAGCACAATAAGAAATATGGTAGCTATTCATTATGCATTTGCTCACTGAATGAATTATTTCTCTAAAGAGGTCTTAGGTTGAGCAATGGGTTAAATCCATAATAAAAATATTTCATTAGGAGCAAAAAGCCAGCTTACAAATGAAGACGTGTAGAACAAAAAAAGCATCAACGCACAAAAATTTAGTCAATAACAAGCCACTTATGAGTTACAGTGAGATATAACTCCCCATGAATCAGCCTGTTCTTACCACAGAAACTAATCAGAACTCTGGTAATATCGATGTCTAATTAAAAAATACAGTAGTTTATAATTGAGAGAAAGGATGAGTCCACCATATAACATGCCATTCAGATCCTAACTTGAATCCTATTATATTCTATGTGCAGTTCTTCCTATTGGACATGGATAGACTAGAGCACATCTGGAAAGAAGGCGGGAAGGCAGTTGGAAACAGTCATGTGCTAAAGATATTTGTGCCAAATATCTTCCTGTGATACATTATTCATAATATTTGATGTTAATTTACAAACTGTGGGGAAAGTATCTCAACTTCTGTCCACTGAAATCTCATGTCCCATCTACAGTTTCATGGTAACTGTTTTCCACATAGTCATCAATGCCTTATGTTCCAATACATTCAGTACTAGAAGATATTCTCATTTTTGACGTTTTAGTTGCATTTGACACAGCAGATAACCCCACTATCGTCTTCTGAAATTGTCTTTCTTCTTGGCTTCCAGGACACCATACTTTCCAAACTTTCTTTCTATTTCTGGCTCTGACTTCTTATCCTTCTTTAAAGGCTGCTTTTCCCTTTCTCCATTAGCCACTGGCATTCCTCACCCCTTTATCCTGTCTCCTCTCCTTGTGTCATTGTTCACTATCTTTCTGGAATCATCTTCATTTGTCTTGCGTGTGCTGAGGGCTCTCAACTCTATTTATCAATCACAGACGTCTCTTCTGAATTCCAGGCCTACTTATCCAGGAACAAATTGGACATTTCCACTTTGATAGGAATATATTTTGGTAAAATGTATAAGGAAAGGAACCAGTTTATTTTTCAAATGGCAAGCCATTTGAAATAATTTATTTAATTTAATTTAATTTTAGTTTAGTTTAGTTTAGTTTAGTTTAGTTTAGTTTAGTTTAGTTTAGTTTAAGACAGAGTCTCACTCTGTTGCCAGGCTGGAATGCAGTGGCACTATCTCGGCTCACTGCAACTTCTGCCTCCTGGGTTCAAGAGATTCTCCTGCCTCAGCCTCCTGAGTAGCTGGGACTACAGATGTGTGCCACCACGTCTGTCTAATTTTTGTGTTTTTAGTTGACACAGGGTCTCATCACGTTGGCCAGGCTGGTCTCCAACTCCTGGCCTCAATCGATCTGCCCGCCTCAGCCTCCCAAAGTGCTGGGATTACAGGCGTGAGCCGTCGTACCCAGCCAAATTTCTACTATTAATGAAAAAAACAAAAACAACAACAACAAAAACACACACACACTTCTGAGCTTGGTCTGTACTAACTCTACAATCTGTTTTCTGCCTTCCTATTTATGACAATCACTTGACATTTCCCCTGTCAGTTTATATGCTACCAATAACCTGGATGTTTTGCTTCTTTAAATGTGCCATACTCTTCTTCATAACACTGTTTCCTCCTGGCTAATTGTCTTCAGATCTTGGCATAAAATTACTTTCCACAGGGACCTTCCCTGATTTGTTTTCTTAGCCCAAATTAACTTTTCCTTTGGCTTCCAAGGATTCTCTGTATTGTCTTATAGCACCAATTCTTACACATTTTCATAATATCTTGTTTAATTGTAAGTCTTCTCTACTAGATTGCCAGTTGTGTTGAGTAGGACCAGGTCAGTCTTGTCTATGGTTAGGTTCCCAGCTTCTAGTAGAGTGCTTGGCTCTTCACAGGCACACAAGTTTGGATGCGTAAACAGAGTGACTGTAGCATGTTCACAGATTGCCCTTCTTGTTTCTACTGGATTGTGCTATTCTTCTAGATATGATACAATTTAATGCATGACAAAGAAAATTAAACACCTCTAAAATCATTCTGTTTTGAAGTGCAGTAATATATTTGCAGACCAGAGGTTTAATTAAAAATGAATGACTTATGTAAAAAAATATGACAATTGGATTCACAGAACTGGAGTCTATAGTCTATTAACTCCAGTATTTGTAATGTAGTGTGGCAAATAATATGTCTAAAAAGAGTTAGGAACAATATTTAAATTCGTTTAGTATCATTTCAAGATTTGTTGGGGAATCAATTAAATGGGAAAGTTAAAAGAAAAGACAAGTGCACTTAAAGTAAAATATTCAGAATTTAGTAAATAGAACTAAAATTTTGGTTTGCATGTGTTTCAACTTAATTAAATTATTTACTCCTATAGGAAACCTGTGAGGTCTGTGACATATTGACAGATTAAAAAAAAAGAAGAAGAAGAAACTGAGAAAGGTGAACCTGTGCAAAATAAACGAGTTACTAAGTGTCAGGGTTGCACCTCAAACCTAAATCTTCTAACTCCCCACCCCATGTTTTATGCAGTAGGCTAAATAGAGTATCTTGTAACTCACTTTACATAATTTTCTGGTCCATTTGTTCACTTGCTTCAGTAAATGTGCTCCTCCCTTAGTTCACTTACCATGATATTTTGCCTTCTTTGTATCTCCATTTTAGCCCAGAGCAAACAATTCATTTAAAAAAGCGTGGTTTCCATAAAGCACTAGGAAAGTGAGGGAAGGAGTACCAAAAGACTGAACCATTTACCTATAGAAATGATAGGCAAATGAGTTTTGTAAAGTCAGTCCTCTTTTTTTTAATTAAGGGAAAATTGAGAATTACATTAAAAACATATATATGATAGCAACTTCTAAATGCTCTATATGTATTAGCTTATGTAATCCTCACAATAACCCAATGAAGTAGGCACTTTTGCTATCCCCATTTTAAAGATGGAGAAATTGAGGCATAGAGGTTCAGAAACTTGCCCATAAGTGCTAAGTGTGTAGACAGGATTCTAACCTAGGCCATCAGGGTCTAGAGTCTGCTTTTGACTGCTGTGACAACCTGTTTCCCAATAACCATTTTCTCTTGGCTTCCTTAGATCTCTTCTGTTCATTTATTCAACAAACATGTATTAAATACCTAACATCAGTCAGGCACTGGAGGGGAAAATCAGATATGGTACTTGCCCTTATAGAACTTCATTAGTTTAGCTCTATGATACTGAGTATTCTGTGGAATGAGGGTTTTTTTTTTCTTCCTCAATTGGATGTCTAATGAAGGTCCAACTATGTAACAAGTTGAGGAATTGATGTTTGAAAAGCTGTTGTATTGTAACAAGAAAACACATATGGATTTTTTATTGAAAAGAGGCTGTATAAATTTGGATATGAATTTTCTTTGCAAATATGGGTATAAACAACTAAGATTACAGGTAATAGTATCAGTGGAGGATATTGGGACAAAATGAGAAGTGTGTGAGTGTATGTGTGCGTGTGTGTGCGCACATGCATGTGCATTCTTGTGTGGTGTTACTACAGGAACTAACACGGTAGGATGAGAAATTCAATTTCTTGTTACAAAAATGCCAGTGTTGTAACAGTAAAAAAAGGAAAGGCTGACAATGAGAGAGATGATTGGTCATCCAAAATACGGGGAGACAAAAAAGCAAAAAGAAGAAATAAGACCTAGTGTTAGATAAATCAGTAGTGTGATTATAGTTTACAACAATCTATTGCACTTTTCAAAATAGCTAGAAGAAAATAATTCACGTTTCTAGCATTAAAAAAGACAAATATTTAAGGTGATAGCTAGCCCAAGTACACTTATTTGAGCTTCACAAATTATGTGGATGCCTTAAATGATCATATGTACCCTGAAACTATGTACATCTATTATATGCCAATAAAATGTTTACAAATCTAAATTGATAGGTTGTAAAGTGTGAAAACATTTATGCCAGCAATATCATGTTTAGATATTTGTGCTGTAGAAATACTTTCAAAAGGGAGTAAAATGCATCATTGTTTATAATAGTTAAAAAATCAATAAACAACCTTAATATCTAATAATAGGGGATAATTAAATAAATATTGGTACACTCACATAAATGAATACTATGCAACTGTTAAAAATAAATATTTTAATAGATGTTCTAAATGTGAATCATGGCTCTGCCACTCACTTGCTTGGGAATCTTGGCCAAATCACTGTATCTCTCTGAGCCTCAGTTTCTTTCTCTGTGAAATGTGCATATTTATCTGATAGTCTGTATGATGATTTAATGTCATTTTTGTGAGACATTAAGCAAAGTGCCTAATATATGATAAGCTCTCTGTATAGTTTAATTGTAATTGTCATTGTCCCCATCATCCAAATGAACTGATATGGAAAGATATTTGTAACATTTAGAGAAGAGTAAAAATATATTATGAGAGGAATAAAAGGAAAATAACTTTTAATAGCTATGGACAAAGGTCTATATAAAATATATGAAAGTTATATAAATTCTTATGTAAGGAAGTTTGTATGCAGAAAAATAGTGAGTAGGAAAGAAAGTCTAGGGAACATTTATTATTAAAATATTCTTTAAATAACTAAAGCATCAGGCATTAATGGTTTCTGCTTTTCTTATTCTGATTTTTCATGTCCTAACCACTCTGCTTCCCTTCTCCATTACTCTTCTCCTCAACCCCCTTAGTTTAGTTCATCTCTTTAGAGGAACTTAGATCTGTCAGAGTAGGCCAGTAGTACATACTGCAGGTCTTTTGTCCAAGCCATCATCCTCACTTGACGTTTTGTAGATCCAGACTGCGATGGTATAAACTCTGCCACTGAGCGATTGTACCTGCATGAACATCACATACATTTCTGGGTACTTCAATGTTGGAAAGATGTCAGAAAATTGGAGTCAGTTCAGAAAAGAGTAACAAAACTTAAAAGGAACTTGGGGAGGGGGATGATTTCTGAGGAAATATTAAAATAAATATATACTGTGCACATCCCAGACTATGTAATATAAAATTCTGCAATAGGCATATATATTTTTTTAAAAAAACAAGTACTTTCAAGGAAATTTTAAAATATATTTGAGCTGAGGTAATATGTAGCTGATTTTAAATTCAATTGTTTAGTAGAAATTGTTATATTAATAAGTAGTGACGAATAATAGTCATTAGTTAAAATATCTAGTAATTTTATAAAACAAGTATAGTTTTTAGATGTTTACTGTGGCCTAGAATATTGTTTTGTTTTTAATGAACAAATGTTGACATTTAAAGTTGATTAAGTGAGCTCAACAGTTAATGAACAATAGCCCAAATTAAACAACTTTTGTGAAATTACTTTATGCAATGTCAGGCACATACTGGGCTCTTATTAATGTTTTTTTTAAACAAATAACTAAATACCAAGAAATTACATTGGCAACAATGCTATGTATCTACAATGTGAAGGAAGTAATAAGAAGATAAATGATAAAAATTTACAATTTTCAACATTCACCCATTTCATGGAGGAGTCAAATGTGAAAGAAGAGCTCCAAAAGAATTGGTAGCAACAGTTCCTAATGTAAATATTTATTTTTATTTTCTTTTACTTTTATTTTAAGTTCAGGGGTATAAATGCAGGTTTGTTACATAGGTAAACTTGTGCCATGGGGGTTTGTTGTACAGATTATTTCATCACCCAGGTATTAAGCCTGGTACTCCTTGGTTATTTTTCCTGATCATCTCCCTCCTCCCAACCTCCACCCTCCAAAAGGTCCAGCGTGTGTTGTTCCCCTGTATGTGTCCATGTGTTTTCATCATTTAGCTCCAGAAGTAAGACTGAACACCTACAACTTTCTGATCTTCGACAAATCCGACAAAAACAAGCAATGGAGAAAGGATTCCCTATTCAATAAATGGTGCTGGGATAACTGACTAGCCATATGCAGAAGATTGAAACTGGACCCCTTCTTTACACCATATGGAAAAATTAACTCAAGATGGATTAAAGACTTAAATGTAAAACCCTAAAGTGTAAAAACCCTGGAAGACAACCTAGGCAATAACATTTAGGACATTGGCATGGGCAAAGATTTCATGAAGAAGATGCCAAAAGCAATTGCAACAAAAGCAAAAATTGACAAATGGGATCTAATTAAACTAAAGAGCTTCTGCACAGCCAAAAAACTATCAACAAAGTAAACAGACAACATACAGAATGGGAGAAAATTTTTGCAAACTATGCGTCCAACAAAGGTCTAAGATCCAGCATGTATAAAAAACTTAAACAAATTTACAAGAAAAAAACCAAACAACTACATAATGTAAATATTAATGGAGGAATTATTAAAGGAAATGGAAAGATATTTGATTCTATGATATTAATATTAAAATGATGTGCTATTGAATTCTGTATTTTCTTGTCACAACGAGAAATTTTAAAGTTACAGTGGCAATTTCACATATGGTATATTACCAATTCCTAGAGAAGGGATAAAATACCTATTTAAAATATCTTTATGGCATTTGTTATAAACTAGATTTTAATCAGAAATCTACTCCATCCATTTGGAATTCTAGTTTGGCTTTAGAGCACAACACGATTTGAGTAAAGATTTTGTAGATGCATGTTATATATTTATTATAATCGATTGATTAGTTATAGGTGAATATGTACATTTATTAATTCATTGCACACATTTGTTGAGCTCCTGCTCTATGCCAGGCTCATTATGAAGAGCATCGGGTTCTTTAAATTGTCACATGTCCAGCCTTTGACAGGAGACCAAATCTTTAGTAATCATTGTTTCATTCTTCCATCTGACTGGGCAAGTGCTCTGAATCATTCATTTTTCCTACCAAATTTGGTGGGCTTCCAAACCAGAGTATTTATCTAGGTAAAATTTAAGTTCATTTGTCAGGTTAAAAAAAATTTATTTATAAAAATTATTTATTTGGGATCTGAAATTATTTTTAGCCTCTATGTTTTCTTAAAAAAATAGCTGTATTTGTGATATTAAGCCTTCCACAATCCAAAACTTGCTGATTCTCTTTATTCACTTTCAAATTTTATTTGTAAAGAAACTACAGATTTTCTTATGGTTTTTCCTAGACAGCCTATGTATTTATGGCTTTTATAAAAAAACTTTTCTCATTTTCATTTTCATCTGGTTTCTTTTTTTTTTGAGACAGAGTTTCACTCTGTTGCCCAGGCTTGAGTATAGAGTGGCGGGATCTCAGCTCACTGCAAACTCCATCTTCTGGGTTCACGTGATTCTCCGGCCTCAGCCTCCCAAGTAGATGAGATTACAGGCGCCCACCACCACACCTGGCTAATTTTTGTATTTTTAGTAGAGACGGAGTTTCACCATGTTAGTCAGGCTGGACTTGAACTCCTGACCTCAAGTGATCTGCCTGCCTCAGCTTCCCAAAGTGCTGGGATTACAACTGTGAGCCACCATGCCCAGCCATCTTCTTACTTGTTAATGATGTAGTAGAGGAAAGTTATGGGGTTTTGTTTGTAGTACTATTTCTTCTCAATGATTAGTTTATCTTACTAGTTCTATATTTTTCCTCATTTTATTTCGTGTGTTCACATGCCAAACAGTAGTTTTGTTCTTCTCCTTATGCTGGTTATTTCTTTCATATATCATTTGCAATGTTAAATAACATCCAGATTGCTCTTAATAAAATGGTGAGGGATGTGACAGGTTTTGGTACAAACATTGCTAGCAATTCACTTTTAGATTAAGACCAATGACCCTTGATCCATATTGTCTGAATTTGAATCTCTTTGTGCCATCTACTAGAATGCTGAGTGATTGGTTTACCCTCCTTGGCTCTGTATAATAACTTTATCTGTAAATAGGTTAATTATAGTGAGATAGCCAGGTGGAAGGGGTTCCTCTGAAAAACTCCAACTGACCTGCACACTGGGCTGGAGCATCAGGAAGTCCATGCCTTTCGCAGCTGGGAGGAGCCTGGCCCCTCCTTTTCCTGTGTGGAATCTGGGATTCAAACTGCAAGGCAGGAAGCAACCTAGCAGGGACTCTGGGCTTGGGGCGAGTCCCTGTTTTCCCCTTTTCTTCCTTTTCACCCAATAAAACCCTGTCTTACTTACCATTCAAATTGTTTGCGAGCCTAAATTTTTGTGGCCGTGTAACAAGGACCCTGCCTTTAGCTGAACTAAGGAAAAGTCCTGCAATAGTACCTATACCATAGATTTATTAAATGAATTAATAAATATAATAAACATAATAAGACAGTATTTTTTGTATATTGATAAAATAATTATTAAATAATATCTTGCCTTTAAATCAGGAGTTGGCAAATCTTTTCTGTAAAGGACAGGATAATAAATATTTTAAACTTTGTTAACAGTTTAGTGTCTGTGTCAGGTCCTCAGCTCCGGCTTTGTAGTGAAAAGCAGCCACTGATAATGAACAAATAAATGTGCATGGTTGTGTTTGAATAAAACTTTATTAAAGCAGGCTTTCAAGTCTGATTTTTGCTTTGGATAGTTAAATCTGACCTTACTTCTGGTAATTTAAAGCCTTTTGTTTTTATGCTATTTCGATGTTTTCTTTGTTGACTACATTTACTTTTATCTTTTTATATAATTACATTTATATCTACTAATCTTAGTAATACAAATAGGAATAAAATTGACTATTGACTACCTACTTTATGAGTAAGAAAATTTGATTAAGTAATTCACAAATGAAGAACTACAAATGTTCAATAAACATGACCATATGCTTAGTCTCACTAGAAGTCAAATAAATAAACATTTGAAAAGAAGAAATATATTTATATTTAAATTTATCTGCCTATCAAGCTGCCAAAAGTGAAAAATCATTACACAGTTATACGTGTGAATGTCTGTATGTTCAGTGGGGAACGAGCACTGGGGAGAATTTGTTTTCTGATGAAAAAAGTAAAGGTAGCAAAACAGATTTTCTGGAAGGTTAGTTAATGATACATGACATGTCTTAAAATACACAGAATATGAATGCAGCAATTCATTTTCAGGAATTTAAGGAAATGACTAAAAGCAAAAGGTATATTTAAAGCAATTTTCATTATGGCATCATTTGTAATAACAATATTATAAAACAATAACAACTGTGGATAAAATTAATTTTAAACAAATTAGAATAGTTCAGGGGGACTTATTTCTTGCAATGATGAATTGGTAACGCAGACCAACCACCAACCACCCTAGAAAAGACAATGTTGAAAAAACAAAAAAATCCTGGATGAAACGCAAAATATCTTCTTAAATAGATCGTGGGGTTAACAAGATAGTATGAAAATACCAGACCCAAAACAGGAAATGAGTGAGAGCTGAAAGAAATATGTCTTTGTCAAACTTTGGCTATGAAAAGCAGCTAAATTGTAAACTGCTATTTTGGTCCTGTCAAAGAGAAATAATCCTAGTCTGGCCCAGATCCCTGAAAGGCTGGTCTCTGCAATAGGGAACAAAAAATGTACTCTCTATGGTCTTCTAAATTGTCCCTAAAATCTCAAGTCTTGGTCTCATGTGGGCACCACCCTTCTGTGCAAAAGGAAATGAAGTATCCTTCTGAAGTAGTATATCCTTTTCCTGGGTTTCAAATTACTTCTAAAAGTAATTTTTCAAACAAGTCCTTAGCAAACAACCAAGGACAGTATGGTACACAATACATCTAGACAGTATCAGCCACTATCCACAGAAGCAGAATACACTAGAAACAGACCACTGGGACTACAGATATTAAAAATTAAAAAATCGATTCTATATTAATGGAGGTAATGTCTAAGTTTAAAAATTTCAGTAAAATATGAAAACTATAAATGTGATGTGATAAATGTGCAAAAGAGCCAATTGGAATTATAATAACTAAATATCAAGTTGATATTGAGAACTCAAAGAATGGGTTTACCAGCAGATTATGTAGGTTTGATATACTCTGAACTGGTATATCATTAGAAATTAGAAATTAGAAGGTAGATCATTAGAAATTATCCAGAATAAAATACAGAGAGACAAAAATATGGACAATTTAGAAAATGGTAAGGGACTTAGAGGACCTGGAAAGAAGATTTAGCATGTTTGAGGCCCAGAACAAGAGGAGAAAAAAAATGTGCAGAAACTATTTTGAAGCGACAATGGCTAATAATTTCCGAGAACTACTGAAATGCATTAAGCCACTGATTTAGGAATCCCAAGAAGCCACAAATAAGATAAAAATGTTTTTAAAAATGTACAGTTAAATATTCACTTAAACATAAAAATGAAAAATAATAATATGGAATAGGTTAAACCTACTGTAGTCTAACAATGGGACCCTGTTCAATATATGAAAATGTAGATGCATAGTTATTATTCTAAAAAATGCTTATAATATAGTGAGTGGAAAACAACTATAATACAAAGACAACAGTACCTTTTAAATGTGTATATGTACATGAAGTATTGTTTTGAATATATGTTCAAAGTAGTAATTTCTAGATGGTGGAAATTTGGGATCTGAAAATTCATTATTTATTTATACTTATACATATTTTATTATTTTTCTGTAATTGTTATCATATCACAATGTAATTTAAAAATCAAGGTCAAAATGCAATACCCAGTGCTGGTGAGAGAACAGTAAAATAGACACTTTCATACTTTATTGGTAAGATTACATCTTAAAGCAAACGCAGTGTTGG
The DNA here is from genome assembly GCF_000001405.40 of Homo sapiens. Taxonomy (NCBI): domain Eukaryota; kingdom Metazoa; phylum Chordata; class Mammalia; order Primates; family Hominidae; genus Homo; species Homo sapiens. The sequence goes on from NC_000006.12 coordinate 97,691,974, forward strand.
GGAATTTGATTGTATGTGTCCCAAAGTGTACAAATGGTTATTTCCATTGATCTGGTGATTTAATGTCTAGTTATTTATCCTAAGGAACTAGACAGGTACAGAAAGATTTATGTAATGCACAGAAGGTCCTCAGTACACAAATCCTTTGCCTAGAATACTCTCCTTTGCTAGGCATTCTTCAGGTCTCAATTATGTCACTTCTTCAGTAGGACTTTCCCTCCAAATCCAGTAGTGGTTTATATTCTCACTTAACCCCTCCTATGACACACTATCACAATTGTAATTACGTGGGTTACTTTCATCAGTATCTGCATAATTTCTGTCTTCCCATCTACAAATATTCTAAGGTCTCAGAGATGGGACTATATCTTTGTTCTTGCCTCCACCGCCTGTGCTGAAACACTATCTCTAGCTCATTATAGGCAATCACTAAACATTTAATAAATTAATAAAAATGTTTATTTCAGATTTCATTTTAATAGAAAAATAGAAAGATAAAAATAGAAAGCTAACAAAATTTGTTAATCTTAAAATTTATTGTTACATTAATGTATTGAATACCACTGTTGTGAAAAATTAATATTTTCCAAAAATGTTTAGTGACTTCTAAAGGTTTTTTATGTTGTTAAGGAAAAAAACATGTTTGAAAGTATGTTTACATTACAAATTCACCATTAAAAATCTCACATAAAACTCTGTATATCAAATATATCATCTTTTCACTATACTTACATGAAAGTATATGTGTACATACATATATATATAAAATATGTACACACATGTAAATATACACAAATATATGTTAATAGTTCTTTCCGAATTTCAGCGTATTTGGATATGTGTAGACAGAGATTTATCTGCTTTCTGAAATTTTGAAGAAACATAATGGTGAAACCATAGGACTATGAAAGTTTTACCAAATTGGGATGAAATTATTTTATAGCTTTGTTAATTTCTCCTGACCAATTCAGCTTTCTATTTTGTTTCCCCCCTTAATTTGGATACTTTGTATTTGCCCAGAACATAAATTTTATATCAAGATTTTAAAATTTTTTTATTCATTCACTCAACAAATATTTACTGAGCATCTACCATGTACAGTAAGAAAAACAGAAAAATCACTGCTCACTTACACCTATTCTTATTGAGGGAGGGAAAAAGATAATAAACAAGATAAATAAGTAAAACATAGGTTATATTTGTTTGTTTTTTTTGTTTTCTTTTTGTTTTTTTTTTGTTTTTTGTGTGTGTGTTTTTAGTAGAGACAAGGTTTCACCGTGTTAGCCAGGACAGTCTCGATCTCCTGACCTCGTGATCCCCCCGCCTCAGCCTCCCAAAGTGCTGGGATTACAGGCATGAGCCACCGCGCCCGGCCAAAACATAGGCTATATTAGATAGTCATAAGGAGCAAGAAAAAAAATTAAACTGGGAAGGGGGATAGAAAGTGTCAGGTGTGTATGTGCATGCATGTGTGCAATTTTAAATAGGGTAGTCAAGGAAGGTCTCACTGAGGAGGTGACATTGGAAAAAGACTTAAAGGAGTGAATTTGCTGATGTCCAGAGAAAGAATTTTAGGTAGGAGGAAAATCAAGTGCAAATGCAAGTATATGCCTGGCATATGCAAGGAAAAGCAAAGAGACCAGTATGGGTGGACTGGATAAGGGGGAATGGGGGAGATACGTTCAAAGATTTATTAGCAGAGATTTTGCTTTCTTTATATGTTTTTAATTTCTAGTGTTGTTTGACTTTTCACTTTTTCTTGATTATAATTAAGGGATTTTTTAATGTTTTAAAGCATAGCTTTATTTTTTAAAAATGGTTGTGTGTTTTTAAAATTTCTCTTTCTATTTTCTTTCTTTTCCCTTGTTTTCCATTGACTTTTAAAATTATTTGGCTAACTTCTCAAATTAACTTCATTTACTTTTGTTCCTTTTCTTTTAATAGTGAAATGATTAATTAGAGTTTATATTTTGCTTTGAAAAGAATTGTGATTGAATCATAATTTTTACATTTAGTGTTCTCTTTCTTGTTTTTTTAAATTACTTTGCAAGTTATTTTTAAGTATGAGCTTTTCTGCTTATACAACAATATGTTCATGCTAGAAACAGAAGAAAATCTTCAAAGGAGATGGAAGAAAATAAATCATGAGTTTACTCACATATGAATATATTCATTTATATATATAAATACCATATTTTTACTTAAAATTAAGATAATACTTTATAGTTTTTAAATGGACTTATTCCATATTGGGCTGAAAAAGTTTTAGACATTGTAATTAACTTTTTACTGAGGAAATGTATTTTTGTATTTTGTAATAGAAATATTAAAGCCATAACAGAACATGTAATAAATGTAAATTCCCCCTGCGTCCTACATTGCCAGAATTCTCCACTTGCCCTAGCTAAAGACAATCACTGTTACTAGTTTGCTATGTGTCTTTGCAGAGGTATTCTATCACAAGAAGTAGCATGTTGTTTTCTTTTCTTTATGGTCAGAATATCTCCTCTGTTTCTTGTGCCACTTGTAGCTATATTTGTGAGCCATTGTTTTACTAAATCTAATTCAGTTAGGTTTTAAGTCGATGGAGATTCTATCCAGATTTGGCAGTGGCTGTTGATTCTTGTTTCTAGTATTTATTTTCATTTTGAATTTTTCTGTTTTGCCTTAGGTATTTTACTGATGAATTTGGAAGCCTGAATTAAGGACTAATTTATTCAAAACACTACTTCTCAGGAGAGTTTTATATTTTTTCTTCCTTTTATTTGTTTCTCTTTTCTGTTTTTTTATATCAAATAATTTTTCTTTTATAACTTATATTTTTCTTGTAAGCCACTATAAGTTCCTTTTGGAAAGACATGGTCTACAAATCAATCTATATAATATTTTATTATTGAACTATAAAAGAATTACTGTCCCTAGATGTCCATCATCAAGAAACTGGAAATATAGGCTGGGCGCGGTGGCTCATCCTTGTAATCCCAGCACTTTGGGAGGCTGAGGTGGATGGATCACTTGAGGTCAGGAGTTCAAGACCAGCTGGCCAACATGGTGAAACTCCATCTCTATTAAAAATAGAAAATTAGCCGAGTGTGGTGGCGCGTGCCTATAATCCCAGCTACTCGGGAAGCTGAGGCAGGAGAATCGCTTGAACCTGGGAGGCAGAGGTTGCAGTGAGCCGAGATCGCACCACTGCACTCCAGCCTGGGTGACAGAGCGAGACTCTGTCTCAAAAATAAATAAATAAATAAATAAATAAATAAATAAATAAATAAATAAATAAAATAAAATAAAAAAGAGAAATTGGAAAAACAAGCCTTGGTACAAATGCTGTACTAACTGTTAAAAATATATTTTAATTGACTTGGAAAGATGTTTGTGAATTTTTTCTGAGAGAAAGAGCAGGTCACATAGTACTGTGCATATTGACATGATTTTAATATAGGACTGTTTATGTCCATCTGTCTATCCGCGGAGGCGGGCGGATCACGAGGCCCCTTCCATATATGCCCATATTTATATATGTCTATAAAGAGGTCTGGAAGGGAATTTGGCAAACAGTGACAATCTCTGGGTGGTATACATCTTGTATGAATTTTATAATCTCTCATTTATACTTCTATTGGTTGTCTGAATTTTCCATATATACCTAAATAATTTTATCAAAAAACTTTTATGTTTCTAAAGGATATATGGCAAATTTCTTTAAATAATTATTTTGCTCAGAATGCCACAGTTTAAAAGGCTACTTGTTAACCTACAGTTAACATATTTTTTCAAACTTCACCTGTATTTACCTCTAATTTAAAACCAACGAAAGGTAACAACACATTGGCATTTTGAATATTATTCAATAGGTTGCGATTTCTGTTTACAGAGAATGCACAGTACTTTGAAACCAATTTTATATGTTGCTTTTAATGATGAATGGACAATTTTATCCTAATTTCTTGTCAGTTGGTATTTTAGAAACATTTCTAAACAAAGCTCCCTGAGGAACATGGAAATCATACTTTCCTTTTTTAGTTAAGTTATATCTTTAAAAACTATCAAGTAGAGTCTCTACATTAAATAAGCTTTGCAGTTTGTTCGTAATGCACATGTTTGCTCTGCAGTTTCAGGAACAGGAGTATCAGAAAGCTTCTGTGTAGAAGCTGGTTATTTAATATCCAGGCTCAGTTTACCAGGACCTTTATTTCATTACAAGAACTCTTCTATAATGATAAGCTACTTGTAACATCAAAGCACAAGAGACATTATCTCTTCCTCCCCATAGCCCATGATCTAAAAGCTTGTCTTTTTATCTTTGTTTGAAAGAGAAAACATGTATTTCAAAAAAGCCTCAGCAGATTGTGGACATGGCATAAGTAGGCTCTGGGCATAGTCTAATTTTTTTTCCCCTTTTTCTGTGTGTTTTGTCTTATGTTTCAGTATTATGCTTTTTCGGCTTTTTTGGGGGGAATAAGATAAAGGAATTTTGTTTTAAACTAATTGTGAGAAGGAAAATGCCTTCTAACTGGTATATATATATATATATATATATATATATATGCACACTTATATATGTTATATGTATATAACATAGTCACTTTTCAACCAAAATTACTTGTTGAGTCTCTTAGAAAATAAGGGAAGTGGCTGGGCATGGTGGCTCATGCCTGTAATCACAGCACTTTTGGAGGCTGAGGTTGGTGGATCATTTGAGGTCAGGAGTTCGACACCAGCCTGACCAACATGGTGAAACCCCATCTCTACTAAAAATACAAAAAAAGTTAGCTGGGCGTGGTGGTGCATCCCTGTAGTCCCAGCTACTCGGGAGGCTGAGGCAGGAGAATCTCTTGAACCTGGGAGGCAGAGGTCGCAGTGAGCTGAGATTGCACCACTGCACTCTAGCCTGGGCTACAGAGCGAGACTCTGTCTCAAAAAAAAAAAAAAAAAAAGCGTTTTTGTAGACTTTTTTTTTTTTTAGACTTTAGGGAAAGTTTTAGGAGTCTAAAATTTGAACACTTACAATAGAGCTAGAAAACTAGAAGCCCCTGAATGATGAAGTGGAATGTCAGTATACCTGCCGGCTTTTGATTCTCTATCAAATACACGATATTGGGGGCAAAACAAAGATGGATATGATACACAGATGAAACCCAGGGAAAAGAAACTTTTCTAAATAAATTATCCAAATGTTTGCTTTTCATTTGACCTGAGCTGTACCTCTCAATATCATATATGTAGGGACTTTGGTTAATCATGTTATTTCTATTTGCACAGGGACACACAATCATTAACAGTTTGTAAATGCTTTTGATGATAATTTCACATGGCTGCATGAGAAAAAAATGTTAACATTCTGTCTTGGACTGTGTGAATGCCTCTAATTTTTTATGTGAAAAATTACAAACACCAATATTTGCTTTGTTGGTTTATAATCATTAGAAACAGAGATAAATTAATGGAAGATATATTTTTGGTGATTAGAGGAACAGACATGAAGTAAATCTGGTTCTTGAAATTATACTCTTTTGCTTGTTAAGTAAAATACTGAATGTCAGTTAGAAGGGTAATATTGACATTTAGTATTTTACTTAACAAGCAAAAGCATATGATTTCAAGAACCAGGTTTACTTCACTTCTGCTGGAATGTTCCCAAACATTCCAGACTGTTCTGACATGAGGTCACCATCATGGTTAGTCAGCAGGGTGAGATGCTGGTGTCATGAGGGTAGACTAAGGTTTTATAATTCATTCAGAAAGACATTTGGATGACCAGGCTATACCACACTGGGTCTCTCCTCCCAGGCAAGAAAAATGAAGTTTCTTGTCATTTTCTTATCTATCTGGTGCTCATTCTTGTATTTGTCCACTTAAAAATATTTATTTGCTCTCCCACCATGTGCCAGACCCTATGCTGTATATGCAATAAAATGAGACTAAGACCCCTACCATTAAATAGCTTACAATATTTCAGAGGAGACAGTGATAGAAGCAGTTACAAAACAATAAATCAATTAGGGAATGCAATGAGAACACAATAAATCAAACAGACAATGCTATAAGAAGAGGGCACACACAGTACTTTCCTGAAGGTACTGGGGTGGCTTCTCAGAGGAGCTAAAGTCTGGCATTTGACAGGAAGAGAAGTTGGGCAAAGCCAATCTTGACAGAAGAATGTCATGTTTAAAGGCACTGAGGTATTCAGGATACCAGGCAAAGGTGCACATGGAGGAAGGGTAGGAGATGAGACTGTCCAGATAGACGCCACTTCCCACATGCAAAGTTTTGGAGTTAGAATGTTATATTATAGCTAAAAATGTACATATATTCAAATTATATTAAAGTTACAATTCAAAGATGGGTAACACGTGAACAATAATCAGATTTGCAATTTTGAGTGACCAACCAGATAGTATTGTGTTGATTTGGAATGATGTGAGACTGGAAATAAGGAAATCCTTTAGGCAGTGCTTTGGAAGTACAGCTTAACTATTTATGAATTACTCCTTCTAAACTCCTGCCTTTTCCTCATATACTCCTGGTAGATACAGGATAGATATAGATTTTAGTAAGACGGAAAATTGGGGAAAAAAAGTATTCATTGAAACAACTTGTTACTGTGCTGTCTCATGAAAGTCTTATAGGAGGCCAAAGTTTGCTTAACTGTATAAACATGAAGCAGGAAGTCTTTCATAACGTATTTTAAACTTGAGTGAAATATATGCAAATGCATCAATATAATTCAAAGAAGAAGGTTTTAAACGCTGGAGAATAAATTCAAACCACCAACTAATATTGGAATACAGATATGAATCTCCTGGCTCAAAACCAAAGAGTGCTTAAAGGAGAAGGTGACAATTATATATTGAAGAAGAGAATTGCTTCAATAGGTATTTGACTGTATGGAAAAGGATAAGGAAAGATATTGGAGACATTTGGTAACTGAATAGTTTGGATGATCTCAGTATGTATGGGGAAGTATTTGATTCTGGACTCCAGAGTCACATGGGCAATTTTCATGATATTTGAATGTGTCACCAAAGATGACAGTTTTTTTTAAATGTATATATAGACAATGTGGAAACACTGAAAGTTTTTAAGGGAAGAATTGACTAGTTCAAACTTATAGAGTAGGAAGACAGCTGTGACAGCAATGTGTGGGGAAATTGTATGTAGGAGATACTGGAAGCAAGAGAATGTTAGAATATCGCAATAATCTCAGCAAGAAAAATGAAATGTTGAACATAAATTTTCCTGACATAAGCTGACTGAAATGCCAGCTACTAGATTAATAGAAAGGTTTAGTATGGCAAATATAAGTGTCTCTTTTCAGGTACTCTGTTTCCACCACAGAAAGTAGACATTAAAGCCATATGTGTATGGGTGCCCTGACAATAATTTGCTCAAAATTTTACTTTCAACCAATCTTCACTGCATCAATTTTTTTAAAAAAGCTATTATGTCAAATGAATACTTTTCTCAGTGGTCCAGTGAGCTTGGGTTGTAGTTAGCAAAGTCTAAGTTCTAAGCTTATAGCACCTGACAATACAAAATACTTTTCTTTTAAAGAATTTCTGTGATGATTTTTGCTTAAAATTTGTTTGACTTCACCTGTTTTCTCAGCCAGTATTGTGTCATTTTGTAGAAAGGACATTTAACCTAGTGGCCCACTGAGGCCTTCTGCCATGGACCTGCTGTGCGTACTTTGCTAAAATGGCTGCAGGGCTTAGACCTTGTCTAGGTCTGTTTGTCCATCTTCACAATGAAGATGTTGGATGAAAACATCACTAAGCCTCATGTGAACCTTACAGTCTTGAAAATCTATGTTTATCCAGTAGAACCAAACAAAAGTAAAACTTAAATTCTGCATTAAGATATACAAGCAATCAAACAACTGGTCTACTCATTTTGACTGTCTTAAAGTATCTGAAAAAAATTTATTAAGCCTGAAAGTTAATAACTATTGGGTTGCCACCTCCTCTGATGTTCTAAAACATTTTTTGTGTGTGTATAAATTTTAGTGTTCTAAATCCTTTGATCTCTCTATTGTATGTTCTCAAGCTTCCCTCCAGTCCTAGAGCAACTTGCTGTGAGTTATGAGCTGGGAGAGGTGATTAGGAGATAATATATAAACAATTAGAAGACAAGATGTCACTGATGTTGCTATTATGAAGAAAACACACACAAATGTTTTTTTGAGAGGTTAGAAGACCCCTGTCCAGCAGCAAAGCTTTCGTATGTAGGCTGTGTGTGTGAATGTTTGCTACAATGAGACTCTGCCTCTAGCCTGCTAAGTGATTAGGATAGTATCATGGTGGAAGATCACTCATGTTTATTTATGACTGAATGATTTTATTGAGGATGGCGTAGAAACCCCTTACCGCCGCATGCACTTTCCTACTGCCACGTTGCCACCAAATATGGGTTAAGGGCATTAGAAAAGAAATCCCACATGCAGCCGGGCATGGTGGCTCACGCCAGTAATCCCAACACTTTGGGAGGCCGATGCAGGCGGATCACGAGGTCAAGAGATCGAGACCATCCTGGCTAACACAGTGAAACCTCGTCTCTACTAAAAATACAAAAAATTAGCCGGGTGTGGTGGCGGGCGCCTGTAGTCCCAGCTACTCAGAGGCTGAGCCGGGAGAATGACGTGAACCCGGGAGGCAGAGCTTGCAGTGAGCCGAGATGGCGCCACTGCACTCCAGCCTGGGCGACAGAGCGAGACTCCGTCTCAAAAAATAAAATAAAATAAAATAAATTAAAAAAATAAATAAAAGAAACCCCACATGCTATGTCTGTTTGGATTAACTTCACAAACAAAATACAGGGAATATAAAGAAATATGAATGAAGGAATTATAAACCAGGTATAAAACTAAGAAACTTAATTTTTAACTATGGCTTGGGTTATCTAAACGTGTACATACATATAATATATGTGATTATATATGTAAAATACATATATATATACACAAAAATACTGAGGATTTGGGGCATCTTAGCCTCTGAGCTACCAGTTCCTCTAATGTTCTAAAACATTTTTATTTGTTATTATACTTTTATATATTTAAACACACACATATATATGCATATATATATACGCGTATATATATGCGTGTATATATATATACACGCATATATATGTGCAGAAATGCAGTCCAGTTTCATTCATTCACAATGGCAATAATATGGTCAGGAGGGGACATTTGGTAGATTTATAGGACAAACGGATATTTGTGTTCTGAATTTTTTTTGTTTCCTTTGGTTTACCATGTTTTCAATTCACAACTTGCTTGAGCATTGCACAGATTGGTAGAATATGATTTTATTAATAAAGCTCAATCTAAATGCCAGAAATTTAGGTTGTGGTATGTTACTTACTAGGCTTCTTATGTGGAACCAATGCTAAAAAAATAATTACATATGCACACTATAGTTCATATTTTAATAGGTCTTCACTGAGACCTACTATGAGCCCTAGAGGCCAGCTCAGTCACAATTTTTGAGCTGAAACTCCTTTTAAAGACACTGTACTTGTTTTTACTAAAGGTTAATGATAAAAAATAAGCAATTCTCAAAGGTAAGTAAAAACATTAAAAAATAAGTTATTTCATTTCAAAATATGTCCCTATTGGCTTTTACTCCTTTTCTATACAAACTTTTTGTGCAGATTTTGTAAAAGTCTTTTTATTCTTCTGAATATCACATTTTTTCCATCTACATATTGACTAATATTGTTTTAGCTTTTTAGAAGTGAAAGAATTTTAAAGAAATGTATAATAAACCTGATCAGTAAAAAAACCTTTTCGCAGATATCTAAAAGCTAATAATTTAATCATGTGATCTTATGTCACCCCAGTTTCTACATGTATAAACAAATACAGCAATATCTTACAATTATGGTGTTTTAATATTGTGAAAGATTCTCAGTCATACAGCTTAATACTTTAATATCTGATGATGCAAACTTAGCTTGTAAGGATTTGCGCATCTTGCAATAAAGTTCAAGTGACTAAATTACTTTGTGTATTTACAAATGACACATGATGGTACATTTACCTCTTTACTGATGTTAGCTGATACATTAGTCAGATCTCTAGATTGTGAGAAAATTCTGAGGAAATATTGCCTGGGGTAAATTTTAATTTATGCAGGAAAAAATTAAATGTATGCTATTTTGCATAAAAGCGCAAGTGTGAGTAAATTATGTATGGTAAATTCTCATTGCTGAAAGCTTCTTGCAAATGAAGAATAGTTTTATTTGTGTCTTACTAATATACCAACGTTTGGTTAGTTACATTTACTCCTGTTTGCTACAGGTAAAATGGATGGAACATCAGACAGCTCATTATAGAGACAAGTAAGCTCCAGTTCCAAAGTTGGTTGACAGAACAAGTCATGGTAAGTCTTGTAATTTTAGCACTACTGTACATCTGCAAGCTGTCTGTGGGTAAAATGCTTACTAAGCACTGCATTGGGGCTGTCAGAATGCTCATGGGTTGGTAATTAAATACAGACAGTGCTATGGTTTTATGGAGCTAAGCCAATATTTGTGCACTCTAGAAATCTCTTCTAGAAAGCTTTTACTTTGGACTTTAAGTTTTGGAAGAAGTACATTTTATTTTTATTGAGTAAACTTTCATTAAAAACACACTTTCTAGAGCCTTCACTGAAAACATTCATTTCTGTTTTTGTGTGATAAGTCAATGGCCAATTCACCTAGCAAAGAAGTCAATTGTCAGCAGTGCTGGCCTTTGCAGTGTTAGTTTTCCCTCTCTCAGGTTTTATCGTCAATTACTATTTTTAAAACACTCAACAAAAAGATTTGAAAGTAAATAGAAAGATCTAAAATAGAGCTGCTGGAAAGAAATATATTTATTTGCCAGGTGTGGTGGCTCATGTCTGTAACCCCAGCACTTTGGAAGGCTGAGGCAGGAGGATAGCTTGAGCCCAGGAGTTTGAGACCAACCTGGGCAACACAGGGAGACCTTGTTTCTATTTAAAAAAGAAAAAAAATTATCCAAGTGTGGTGGTGTGAGCCTGTGGTCCCAGCTACTTGGGAGGCTGCAGTGGGAGAACTGCTTGATCCCAAGAGGGACTGCAGTGAGCCGCGATTGTGCCACTGCACTCCAGCCTGGAAGACAGAACAAGACCCTGTCTCACACCCCCCCAAAAATGGTGTTTATTTAATTCTTACCACTTTTTACTTTCCTTCTGGAATTTAGTGCCCTAGTTTAAATATGAATTGCTTGTATACTTCAGTAGGAAATGAATAATTTTTCCTTTATTCTTGTTATAGATGTTCATTTTGATAGGTATAGAGTGTGTCACATAAAAGCATGCTATATAGCAGCACTAGAACCTGCAAACTATGACCCAGAAATCAAAGGCCAAATTCTGCCTGCATTTGTTTTTTTAAATGAAGTTTTATTGGAATACAGCTCATTTATTTATAGTTGCTTTCCTGCCACAATAGCAGAGTTTAATAGTTTGACAGATATTTGTAAAGTCTAAATTTTTTACCATCTGGCCCTTTACAGAAAAAATTTGTTGACCACTGGACTAGCACATGAAAACTTGTAAAGGAATACATATTTTTTATTTGTTTTTGTACTGTTTAATAACAAGAAAGAATACAAAAATATCATTTCAAATGAATTTTATTTTCTTTAACAGTGAGGAAAATTTGTGTTATTGCTTTACATTTTTAAAAAAACCTTAATAATATCCTGTAGCAGGAGTTTGTGGTTGGATGCAAATCCGTGTACACTCTTAGGTGGATAGTTAGTAAGTTTGTGTACCTTTAAAGGGAAATATTTTCTAACACATGCTGTGAGATTGGCATAAAAAGGAAACGGAGAATAGAGTTCAGGTGAGTCAGTGAAGTGGCTTCTAACCATGCAGCTATTATATGCCTGAAAACTGCATGCATTGAGGTTAGTCTGCAAGCCCTTACCAGCTTGTTATTGGCAAGGTTTCCAAACCTCTAACTGTATTATGGCTGTGGATTCATTATCTATAGCAGACTATTCCCCATGACTGTCTCAAAGATAGTTCCTGGGCCAACTTATATTTTTTAATCTGTACATTTACTTTCCAAAGAAAAAAAGTAAAAGAAACTTGTTAGGAAATTAAAAGTGTACATGTGCTGTTATTTTAAAAATTTTTTTGGTGTCATTTAGTTGTGAAGTAGCTGTGTATGCACATTTATGGTTAAAAAAACTGGTAGGACTGTGAGGTAATATACTACTTTCCAAAGTATAGCTTTTCTATAAAACATCTAGCAGAAGGATAATAGGTAATGATGCAATGGTTAACATTACCATTTTCAAAAAATTGAAAAGGAATCATCACTTGGAGCCAGTTTGGCATTTTCCTATAAGACATCCTATTTAGAGCTCTGCATCTCTGCTATGCAGTTCTGTGAATTTGAATCCAACAGAGAAGATGTAGCTTTCATACAATTTTCTTCAGTTATAAGAACCATAATCGTTCCAATGGGATGCTGTAAGCCTGGGTCACTTAAATCATTTCTGAAGACAGCAGGTGCTCTTCAGGGATGTGCAAGATGAGGAAAGCACCTGTTGTTGATTGTGTCTCAGCATCACCTACATAAACTTAGTGCAGGTCGACGTGTTCAGGAATCAGTTATGGAGAAGGATATGAAAATTTTGCACTAAGCAAATGAGCTGGAACCTAACAACAAAGAAAAATTTCCTGAAAAGTTAAGCAGTGTAGGTTCACAAAATATTTAGATACTCTCTCGAAGATAGTCCTAAGAATGTAACTGAATGGGACACAAAAATGAAGATATAAGTATTTACATTGAAATCTACTTCTCTGAAATAATTACTCCCTTCTTATCTGTTGTAAGATGTAACGCAAGATATAACATTCCCAGTCTTCTGTATTCCAATGATATGTGGAAGAATTGTGAGGATATAGAGCAGAGGTCAAAATTTGTGACATTGGGACAAATATAGCCTTCTAATATTTTATTGACTACAAATGTATTTTCATAAACTGGAAATTTTATTTAAAAATTTAGATTCCCAAATTACGTTGAAAATCTGAAATATTTTGATATTTGTTTTGTCTTTAAAATATTTTTTAAACATAAAAGTTGTACATGCTGTTGGTAAAAAAAAATTCAAATAGTACAGAAAACCATAAGGAAATGTTCTTGATCCCAGTTTCATTTTCACATTTTATTAAGTATTCTTCCATAAATGTAGATGAACATACATGTGAAATATACAATTGGATCATGATAACCATATTTTTCTATGCATAGATATTTTTCATTCCGTATTTTAACAATTCTCTTCGATTTTATTAACTTATATTACTTGAATTGCTTTATGCTTTCTTTTATTCCATTTTTATTTTCATTGCTTTAGTATTTTGAAATTAAATTATTTGATAAAGCTTCCTTTTCTCCTCTCCTACTTGATTTTGTATTGTACACATTTCAAATGCTGTCCCTATGATCTTGACAGTGTGTTCTTGCAGTGATAGAGGGCGTTGGGCTTCACAGCACCAAGGGCAGGTTGGGGCTTTCCAGCCACCTCTGTGAATACCATGCTACCTTCTTCTTGGATGATCTGTCATTCCTTTATGTGGCCATCCAAAAGTTTTATTCTGGCATTTTTTCTGAAAACTCACAAGTAATAGTCATTTTTGGAGAAATAATGGTCCTTTTCTTAAAGATGTGACCATGAGGTGGCAGTAGCACACAGCAAGCATTACTTGGGTGGTGCTTTGGTGGTTTTGTAAATGGGGGAGGTCCCTTATTGCAGGACGCCTTCCCAAAGGCAATAATTAGGGGGCCACCAAGCTAAAGGAGAGGGAGGCAAAAGGAACTCTTGGGAAGAGGAGGTTTGGAGAAGGAGGCGTCAGTCTAGAGGATGTTGCTCAGCAGCATGATGGAGAGACTCTGGGTGGGAAAGCTTTTAAGGGCAGCAGAAGCTTGGGGTCTGTTACAGACCCAGGGTTTATCTTATCTACGGTTAGCAGATGTTAGGTGCAGTTTTGTGGGGTTGCGCAAAGCAGGCAGGCTCTAAATGGCCAAAAATCTACTTATTTGGACTACATTTGAAACAAATGGATGTGCAAAAATGTGCATTTGTTGCCAGTGGGCTTTGGAGCTAGTGGTTCCACCCTGCTGTGAAGAAGTAAACACTGTAGGACCAATGTGCACAGACCATCTTATAACAACTAGGCCTCACTGGTTTTGTTTGTGTATGTGTGTTTTGTCATTATAACATACTACAAGTCTACAGAAAATATATACATAAATGCTTGTAGATACACTTATGTACAAATATGCGTAGAAAATAGACACATATAATGAATAGCATGTACGTACCATCTAGATTTGTTAGATTTATAATTTTGTCGTAAATGCTCCAAGTTTTTTAAAGGACTACATTACTAGAGTTGAATTCCTCTATACCCCTTCCTAGAACGATTCTCTTCCCTGCCTTCTTCAGAGGCCTTCCTATGTGTGCTTAGATTTGTATCCTAAATACGTATCATTTTAAAAAGATGTATAAAATTGTTTTGGGATGATTTAAAACTTTATATAAATGATATCATACTGTACATAGCCTTCTGCACTCTGCTTACAATTTTTGAACTGATTGAAATGTATTCAGTTGATACTTGTAGATCACATTTATTTACTGTTGCTGCTAAATAACATTTTACTGTGTGAATATAAAATGATTTAAACAATTTCATATTAATGGCGATTTAATTTGTTTCCAGCTTTTTATTTTTGCAAATGATGCTGTAGAGAACATTTCTGAACACGTCTTCTTATGCAAATGCTTCTACTTGGCTGTTTCATTGAGAGATTCTAGAAGCAAATCAGCAAATAATTCCCAAATAACCTATTGGCACAGGTCTAGAGTTATATCAAAATTAGATATAATTCCTATTCTTGATAAATTTATACTCTTAGTTTATAAGCTTTGTGTATACTTACAAATAAGAATTTTTCTACTATTTGGTAGTGTTTATCTCACCTGTCATTTTACTAAGTTTACGTGTATTTCTAAGACAGATATGTCATTAATGTCATTGCTTGATTATTTTCTCCAATACTTGGTTTTGGTAATCCCCTAAGATGCAAAGCAGATGTGACTATCTGAATTACAGTTTTGTCTTTAGGAGAACATTGTGTTAAAAAGCTTCCCTGAATTCCTAGTGCTGTCACTTTCTCAGTTAATGATTTATTAAATACATCAGAGCAATTAGAAAAATGAGATTTTTAAAAAATGTTTTCCACTACAGCTCAAGTAATTTAAATCACTCTTCTAAGAGATGTATGTTGGGAGAAGTCATAAGTGGAATGCACATGACATAGTAAGGATAATGATCAATGTAAGCAGATAACTTCTAATGGGAAATATATACATAGCTTTGGAATTACATTCCAAATCACTTGTTTTCCCAGCATTTATTGTATGCAACAAACACATAGAAAGTGGTTAGCTGAAACAGGTAGTTTGGAAATATTTTAACATTTTTATCTAAACAAATGACAGATTTTTTTTAAATGAAAAATGCTAAGTATAATAAAAGTGTATATTTATGTTCTCGGCAGCCAAATGTGCTTTTTAATGGAATTTAAATAAATGGAATTTTTATGACAAAAAAAGCAACAGTAAAAGCAGTGATTATGTTTTTCATAGTTCATTTGCCTTCTTTGCCCTGCAGACCTTGTGTGGAGGAAAATGAGATCCCGAGTGAAGTCTACAATGTCATTGACTCTGAAGAAGGACTCAGAGACCCATTGGTGTTTAATGACCCTTACTGGCCTATGCAATGGAAACTGGTATGATCTTCAGAAATAGATGGTTCTTTGGCAGTGTTAAGAAATATTATTTTTGTCATGTTCTAATGCAGTAGATAGGCACTTTTATGCACTGCCTGCTTTTATCTATTGGTTTTGCAGAGAGAGACTTAGCAAACTTTTGATGAAATATTACTGCCATCTTATTAATGAACACTAATCCTTTTAATTTGATTACATCCTTAGGGTTTGATTTAATCTATAAAAGACACCAGTAAAAACCCCAAGATATTTAAATTTGGTGTGTGTAAACAGACTCATTACATAGAAATGTTGTTGCCATTCAGGCTTGAAGTTTTTGTTCTTGCATAACTTAGAATATATTCTATATTACATCAATACTGAGAGAACTTGTCTTTATGGATTAAGTGGATGTTAGAACATTGCCCAACAGACTTTTTTTCATAATGCTTATTTTGTTGGACCTTTTAGTATCACATTGCCCTCCCATTTATATAAGACGGTAATAATGAAAAGGTTTGAGAAAAGCACCCTTAATTTTGAATGCAAATAAGTTTAAAAAAATGATGTACATACCATGGAAAATTTTATAAGGAAACATTTAAAATGTGAAGATAACTTGGTGATAATATTGGAGAGAAATTACAACCTTATTATATGCATAATTAGTTCTTCATAGGTCTGCAGATTATATTGTGTTGTAGAGGGTCCAATGTTGCAAAATGAGGAAAAGGTTAGGTGCATTTTATCATTTTAAGGGCCATGATGAGATAAAACATGGTAAGCTGTTGTGCTGGCTCTTTTTATGTTGATCATTGGCAGTTACCAAGCTGACTATCTGACATGAGCTGAAAACCTATGTTGAAAAAATGTCCAGTTCCATTTTATGTAGCTTCAACTCATCTTTAAAAAATGAAGTGATTTAGAACACATGTCACGCACTCCTGGGCCAGCCAGCTTCCCTTTCTCTCCTCGTATGTAATATCTTTTTTTCCCCTTTCTAGCAAGTACTTTCAAAAGAACTCTGTACATTTTAACATAAAAAATAAATTATGTTGGGCCATTTTGGAAAAAAAATACTTATTTGGCTAAATTTAACATTTCAAACAAATAAAAAATTCAAGCAGAAAATAATTGAGGACTGCTTCAGTTTCCTGGAGGTGGTATAATCAGTAACAATTTAGTGAACTAGAGTCAATCAGGATTATGAAAGTCAAAGAGAAAAAGAGTGATATTAAGAAAAAGGACTGAGGAAAGGTAACTAGATAAGGAAGAAGGGCATGAAATATGAAAAAAAAAACCTTTCTTTTTTTTCTTTACCTGAAGAAACAGCAAAAATTAAGATGAGTACTTGAAGATTACACATATGACACATTGTAATTTGTCACCTCAGAAAGAATACTTTCTTGTATTGGCAATAAAATGTCAAGCCCCTCTATAATGAGGTCAAGAATTTCAGCAGACACAATAGGGAAAGGAGATGGAGGGCAAGTAATACAGGAAAGAAGAGAAGAATTGAGTAGCAAGCAGTCAATAAAGTGACAGGGATTAGAAATGGAGAGAAGTCTTAGAGACCATTAAGCAATAGATCCTCTTAAAAGCAGCATAGAAGAGATCATGAAAGGAAAAAGCAGAAAAAAGAAGTTGTATGATGACCCTATATCATTTTCTAGGGCAGGAGTTGATAAACCTTTCCTGTAAAAGTTCAGATAGTATATATTCAGGGTTTGTGGGCCACATAATTGGCTGTGGCATATTCTTTTGTTTCTTTATTTCAGATTTTTTAAAATGTAAAAACCATTTTTTCACTTAGGGCCATATGAAAACAGGTTATAGGCTGGATTTTACTCACTGGCCATAGTTTACTGACACCAGTAGGGAGTGGGAGCTATGGAGAAATGAGGAGTCAGGGAGGAAGCAGCCATTCAGATGTAGGCCTTCAAGTGCTGTGCTGAGTTATACCCACATTACACTAGTACAATTCAGAGATGAAAGGTCTGGATTATTATTATTTCCAGGTAGCACCATTCTGGAGGCACATCTACCATTATGGAAAAGATTCGTTTTAGTACCCAGGCAAGGCATGGTACATAATTGCAAAGAATGGGCTGCACTTTACAACTGGATGGTGTATCTAAAACATATTAATAACAACAGACCTAAACTGTGTTGCAGAATCCATCCTCTCACCAGAATACCAACTTTATTTCAATGAAAGACTGAGTGGTTCAGGGTGTTGTGCTGCCTTAACAGGGAAATTTGAGGCCTTATTCTGATGAGCACCCTTTAAGCAGCCTCCTTCAGTTACTAGTTTCTCTCTCCGCTCTTCACAGCCAACCTTCCTGAAATGGTCTTTCTTATCTTCATTTTTGTGCTCATCTACTCCTCAGCCAACACTTGTAGCAATCTGGTTTTGTGATGCCCTTCCACGTATCTCTGCCATCGTGTCACCCCCACACTCTCTACTTAATCTCTCAATGCAACAGAGACTTTTCAGTTCTTGTGTTACTTGAATCATCAATTATGAACTTATAACTACTCATATAAAACCTTTGATAATTAAAATCAGATTTCTAATATTCATTCATTCATTCATAATATTCCTTTGCTGACATTACTAGTTTCAATTCTGGCTGTTTTGGTTCTAGACTACAAACTAAATACAACAAACCCCATAAGAATGCAAATAGCCGTGATTCCTCTCCCAAAGCTCTTTGATTGTGCCTCCCCAGCATTCCTTCCTGACTAATTCCATCTTGTATTCCAAAATTGACTCTGGCACTAAATCCTAAGAGGAGATTTTTTTTTAACCTACTACCAAAGTGAATTAGGCCACTTTTCCTCTGCACTCCCATGAAACAGTTGTGCCCTCGCTGCCATTTGAATGAGTAAACACATGAATTAATCAATGGGTTAATGCTTAGCAATTTGTGGGAGCTCTCAACTTGAGAATAATATGCTTAAGGACAGGGATTATGCCTTACTCCTAGTCCCTCTTGCAACCCATGCCAAGAAACCTGACATTTTAAAATACCATATTAGTATTTGTTTAATGAGAAAATTTTAGAATGCATATATAAATGTAGCTACTCATTTTTCTTCACTTTTCTATTCTAAAGTCCAAAAATCTGTTTAGTCCTTACTTGCTACAAACCTGTATTCTAATAAATATTGTTCTCACTTGGAAAATAAACTCCCATCTCTTTACCAATAATTTTAAGGGCAAAAAAATAAAAAAAATAAAAATAAAAGGATTATGTAATAAGAAGCCCCAGATAGAATGGCTTGAGTAGGCTGAGGCTTATTCTTTCACATCAGTAGAAGAGTTGGTCCACAGCCAGTATGAAGTCTCACAGATCAAGAGGCTCTTTCTGCCATCTCTTCCACATGGCTCACCACCTATTCTGCACACCGCCTGGTGGGAGGAGGCAAAAAGAAAGGAGGTGTATAGATGCCCATTCCCTTGCAGACACAGACAGAAAGTTGTACATATGTGCTCAGATTAAATGTGGAGGTTATCTTTCTAGAAGAAGGAAGAATAGCTGTAAGGAGACAACAGTCTCCTCCAAACACTAATTTAAAAACAAAATATTTTAAGCAAAATGTAAAAAATTATCTGAATTTTCTAATTAGTGTTTGAGATATAGTATAAACAAAAGAAAAATACTATTATAAAATAAAGGGATTTTTGAAGCTGCAGAACAAATTTTGAGATTTCAGTCTTTTATGAGCATAATTAAAACAATTGTTCAATAGAGTAGGAAACTCATCTTATTTGCCATTATTTGTCAAAATTTACCACAGTAAATGCTAGAGACTCAATGTCCTTAAGTTTGCACAGAGTATTATTTATACAGGCTAATTTCATCATGTCTATAAAATATCAGAAATGAAGGCATCTAAAACTATAAAATTATTTTTCTATCTGATTCCACCATTATTATTGTTTTCAATGAAAAATAATTTTAGTATTATAAAACTACCTGCAGATGGCCATGGTATTCTTTTGTTAAAGACTTGCAGAATTCTGATAATGTAAGATAATATTTATTACATTTTTGTCCTTGTACATTTTTTAGAGCATATTTCTTGAGAAATTCTAATAAGACTTTTAAATATCATATAGTTCTAAAGACTTGTATACAAATTTAATGAGCTTCTGCCTAAAATTATGCTAAAAAGTAGATATTTGAGAATAATTTGAAGAAAATTTTGACTTAATGTTATATTTTCTGAAGTACAATATTCTAATGACAAAGATTTTTAAGACCTTGTACTAGATTTTTGTGAACACAGCAAGGTATTACATCATGATGTCTGGAGTAAGTGGCCTAGGAGAAGAAGTAAAAGCTAGAAAAGAGATGACTTTTTATTAGATTAGGTAGGCAGAAATAATAGAACCATTTTAACAGATGCTCAAAGCTCCAAAGATGTGAATGAGAAAACTTACAGGAATATAGATTTTTAAGAAAGTGTATTTTCTGCTTTAATTTTTGATTCAGAAATTAATTTTGGAAAAAAGCAGTGTTGAATCTGCACATGCTTTATTTTACCTGTAAAACAATAGGGCCGAGTTGACAATGTAAATCTCGTAGAAGGTATCAGGACCCTTCCACTCTTGGAGATCATGTTTGTGAGCCAGGACTGTGTGGACTGTCACAGCAGAGGCCATGGGGCCAGGGTAGGGACAATGGAGAGACAAATTCAGCCTGCAAGTTTAACAAAAAAAGAAAATGTTTAATTTTTTTAATTGGACTTTAATTTTTGGAGAAGTTTTAGGTTCACAGCTAAATTGAGTGTAAGGTGCAGAGATTTCCCACATACCCTTTTCAGAACACATGCATAGCTGCTGCCACCTCCAGTCCCTTATCAGCGTCCTCTACCAGAGTGGTACTTTTGTTAGAAGTTATAAACTTACATTGATGTTTGATCATTTTAATATGGCCTTTTAGGTTAAAAATGTTAAAATTAAAATAAATGTTGCTATCACCTGGTTTATTAGAAAAAATGTAGGCTTTAGGGTTACACGAGTGTAAATTCAAATCCTGAGTCTGTAACTCCCGACTGTGCCGTCATTAACATTTTAATCTTTCTAAAAATCTATGAAGTAAGTATTATGAAAGTTACTTCGCAGGATTGTTCTTAGAATTAAATGAGATTATGGAGACAAAGCACCTGTCACCCTGTGTTTGACATGTGGTAAGCATTCAGTGCATAACTTGATAGCTAGCCAGATTTTGTTCCTACCTATAATGTGTTAAGCTTTTATTACATGGAAAATAAACTATGCTGACTTCTCCTTTCTCAATAACACTAGATAACTAAAGCAGTAATAGTACAGATTATTAATAATTATTTGTTATAATATAATGGGAATCATGTCTATGTCACTGGTCTCCAAAGAAGGGCTTACCCCACAATAGTTTATACAAACAGGTGCATTGGTATGTGGGGAAAAACATGAGAACTTCCATTTATTTTTTTATCTTTTAAAATTTAAAATTTTTGAATCTATTGAAATTATAGTATATCTGTACATGTTTCATTTATAAATAAATAAATATACACACATCGTGGGTGTATGTATAAACTTTTTTGAAGACTCATGAACAAAATGTTTGAGCCAATAGGTATACTCAGTGAGCATTCATAAAGTAGATGTCACAGTGTTTTTATTGGGTGTCTGCTACATGAACAGGACTAGGTATTAAATCTTTAAAGGCAAATCAGATATGGATATGGATTTTTACTTTAAAAAGCTTAAAGTCTAAAAGCGATATTAGCACATACTAATAAAAAACTATATTACTAGGCAGAAAGCCATTCTATTAAGAACACACAATTAAACAAAATCATTTTTAGCTTGTGGGAGATAATATTTGAACTAAGACTAAACGTGGAAACACTGCAAACAGAAGCATGGCAATGAGAAAAATATTTTTGTCCAGAGGAAAGTGTCTTGAATGTTTGACTGAGAAGTCCAAACTTCATTCTATACCAAGAGATTTTTTTTTTTTCGAGACAGGGTCTTGTTCTGTCACCCGGGCTGGAGTGCAGTGGCGTGATCATGGCTCACTGCAGCCCCGACCTCTTGGGCCCAAGCAATCCTCCCGTCTTAGCTTTCTGTATGTCACCATATCCATCTTATTTCTTTAATTTATTTTTCGAAGAGATGGAATCTCACTATGTTGCTTAGGCTACCAATAGATTTTTAAAAGAATTTTAAGCGGAAAATTTGAGTTATGTTTGAATACCATTAATTTATTATTTTGTCCATTCATTTATGAAACTCTTGTTTGTCAAGTACTATGGTCATGCCCAATGCTAAGCATGCAAAATACAAACATAAATTACATGCTCTTCATTTTCTCAAAAGACTCATAATCTAGCGCAATAGTCATGTAAACATACTCACTTCATTTTATGAATGTACCACAGAGTTATTTATTAAAAAAAAAAAAAATGTGATGGTGACAATGCAGGGAATGCTTATTCTGCCCAGATGTGTTTTAAAGGCTTCACTGAATCAAGAGAGAAGTCAGAAAACATAACAGTCCAAGATAGAAATTGAGTTACGCTGCAGCCTTTATTTGTGTGGCTGGAGGCTGGAGGAACAGTGATGGAGAAAAGGCTAGACAGTTCAGTTGAGCCCAGGTCCATGGGACCATGTATCCCCAAAAAAGGCATTTGCCCTTTGTCTTATAGTTCATGCAGATTAGAGGTTTTTAAGAGGGATGTGATGCAATCACTTTTGTTATGTAGAAAGATGATTTAGGTAGTAGGTTGAGGAAAGGAAAAAGGGGACAAAGATGGGAGGCAAAAGAGAACAGACACAACACAACTATAGTTCAGGAAGATGAAGAAATTGGGACCTAAGTAACTACAGTGAAGATAAAGACAAAAATATAATATTAAATCATATTTGGGAGGAAGAGTCTTAGCTAAATCTGATACAGGTGTTTAGGGAGAAGGACATGTTCAGAATGATGGAGATGTTTGGTGACATGGAGGGTGATGGTATCAGTCAGCTAGGGGTGTCTTAACAGGATACCAGAGTCAGAGTTGCTTAAAAAACAGAAATTTATTTCCTTCCAGTCTGGAGGCTGAATGTCCAAGATTAAGGTGCTGGTAGGGTTGGTTTCTTCTGAGCCTCTCCCTGGCTTGCAGATGGCTGCCCTCACACTGTGTCCTCACATGGCCACTCCCCTGTGTGCACACAGCTCTGGTATCTCTTCCTCTTCTTATAAGGACACCCATTGTATTGGATTAGAGCTCCACCTTTATGACCTCATTTAATCTTAATTATCTCTTTAAAAGTAATTGAAGGGCTTTTAAGAGCCCTGTCTTCAAATACAGTCATACTGAGTATAAGGGCTTCAACATGCAAATTCTGGGGGAATATAGTTCCGAACAGTGATGCAGTATCTTAAAGATGAGGGAAAGTTTAGTGGTGTGGTAGAGTTAATTAATTATGTGTTTGACAGAGTAACCAATATTTCTGTGAAATAACTGAAATTAAGAGGAAAGAAAGATACTTAAACATTTCATAATTAGAATGGGAAGTTATATCATTATCCATGTTTTCAGGCATTGAGACCCACAGAATTGAAGATAACAGAGAGAAACTTAGAAATAAGGAAAATAATATTATAATGTGGGCATTGTGTTATAAACACAGATTTGTAATATAACAAACATAACATAAATTCATAATTCTGCTACAAATATATAACTACAGCATGCTGCCCACAATGTAACTCATTATCTTCCATATTTTAAGTGCTTACCTGTTATATTCAAGCCTATGAATCTCAATACATAATATGTAGCTATAACATTAATTAGAAGGTGTGCATGTGTGTATTTGTATATACATATATACACACAAGCACATATATATATGTGTGTTTCTGTTTGTATTTATTTGTATATTTGGAGGTACATTAGTAAATGTATAGATGGTTATTGAATAAGATTGTCCAGACATATGTGTTTTGTAAAAGAGAGGAGGAACAACAGTATATAAAAGCCAAGTAGACTATATTGATATGAAAACAGTGTGTAGGTTGAAATGTGAGAGAGGAAAAGATATGGACATGTGTCTGGAGGCTATTGCAGAAATTCTGTAATGAAAGCTGAATATAGGCACTACCATGGTTGATGGAAAAAGGGGAGAATAGGACAGACTTATTCATTTATTAAGTATTTACTGAGTGCCTAGTGGAGTCTAGGCTATGTGCTAGACCCTGGAGACTCAACCAAAAACAAGATGTCCCTACCCTCATAAAGCTGATATCCTAGTGAGAAATAATATAATTAAACCAACAATTAATGGTAAAAATAACTTCTACAACCATGTGGTTGACAGCAAAAAGAACAGAAGCTCTTAAACTACTGTTGGGAGTGTAGGAAAGGCTTTTTTTTCCCCCCCAGAGGAAAGGGCATTTAATCTGAGATTCAAAATAAATATAACTTACCTTGACAAAGTAATTTACAAGATAGGAGGAGTGGATGGTTTAGTAAGGAAGATACTATACAAAGGACCAAAAGATTGCAAAGACTGTGGGGGCATTGAAGAAATAAAAGGCTCGTGAATACGGCCAAAGTGGCTGCAAGGGGAAGATGAGTCTGAAAAGTTGAGACAGAAGGAATATACATACAGAAATAAAAACTAAGAGAATATGCCATTGAAGAATCCAACATAAAATGTCGTTGACTATGGGCAATCCTTTTGAGCAAACAACAAAATAACATTGCTGCATAAAAAAAAAAAGTAGCAAAGATGCTGTTGTTCTTAATGAGGACAGTTCCAGAAGTTAGGGATAGAAGCTACTCTGTAGTGGACTGATAAATAAGTGGATATTGAGACAGTAGAGGCATTGAATAGAGACCTATTATAGAAGCCTAATTAATCCATTTATTGTTGACTTACTGAAAATATTATAGATAGATTTCAGAGTTCAAGATACCTAGAAATTTGAGCACTGGTGATGCTATAGTACAAACAATGGAAACCAAAAAATAGTGTAATTATCTCTTTGAGATGTTGAGATGCAATTATGAACAGCCTGGAATTCTATTCCAGGGAAATAGTATCTTTTAGGGATGAAGGTGACATGAATTTATTTTCAATCAAAGAAAAACTGAAAGCCTTCATCATCAGCAGATTTATACTGCAGGAAATACCAAAGATTCATGCTACAAGAAATACCAAAGATTCATGCTACAAGAAATACCAAAAGAAATTATTGCAGATGAAAAATTTTAAAGTTATGTGAAGCATAGGATGAGACTATATTTTTTCAGAGAGGACTTACCTTTGCTTCTGTCAGGCAGCCAGAGAAACTTGCAATCTGGGATCGCCTTAACCCAAGCTCAAGGATCAAGATGATTCAAAGTTGGGCATCAGTCCCCGAGAGAGCAAGCTACTTGTAATTCACCCTGACTCCTATCAAAAGAGCTGCTCATCTCCTTAGACTTTCAGCCAAATTTTCAGGAACCGCAGATGTCCCTAAGGAAAAAGTAGGCTCAATTGCCAAGCTTACTTGTCTAGGTTTCAGCTTCTCCCAGATCTTGGCCTTCAGAGCTCTCCAAAGCATTCAAGTATTTGAATATTTATCCAGTTTTTTTAGTGTCTTTAGCAGGAGTGTTAGTAGGAATTATTTAATCTACCATTACCAGAAATAGAAGTCTGAAGTTTGTGCTATGTAAATAACCAAGTAACCAAACTTCAAAATGTAAATTGCTTTAACACAGTCACATAAAACAAGTAGGACCATTACACTGACGTTGTCCTTGGATATGTGCTTTTGCCAGAAGTACACCAATATATAGTCTGAATGGGGAGCCATTTGTTTCAAGAGTGAAGCAAAATCCTGCCTTGCCTAATGCTCAGAATTTCCTTCTATTGGATTCTCAACTTCTACGTAAGGTATTGTCTTGTAAAGACAACAGAAAAAGAACACATACTGAAGAGAGTCCACATGCATACATTGTAACATCAACATTTTTATCAGTTCCATATGGTAAGCTGCCACCAAGAAGAGAAACATTTGTATTGATTTTTTTTCTGATTAAAAAAGTAAATATTTAGACAATAGAGAAAAATATAAAGAGTAAAAATATTCCCTATGATCTTACCACTTGTATATAATTACTATGAACATTTTGTTACATATTGTTCCATTCCTGAATTATATGTTACATCTATACTATACATTATATTTAGTAAACATGTTTAAAGTTTTCAAATAAAAATGTAACCATGCTGCAGATACTCTTTCCTACCTGTTCTTTTTTTTTTCTTAATACATTGGTGATTTTTCTATCTTAGTTAATTTGTATTAATTCATTTCTTTTTATAATTGTTTAATATTCTATATTTTAAAAATTATTTATTGATGGTATTCAAGTAGTTTCTATGACCTTTGATTTTTCTCTCAACATGTATTCCTTAACATATTCTCTTCTCCAATTCCTGCTGGTGGAACTTGGGGATGTCAAAACAGTGCAAAGGTGCAGTCTCCAGTAGGAATGGACAAAAGAGGGAAATTGTGACAATTCACGTGTGAGAGAAAGTCACAGTTCTACCTAGGCTTTATTTATTTTTTCTTTCCTTTTGGATTTATTGAAGTGGTCTAAAGTTAGCTGGGGTATTGTAAATCCCACATTCCCTCTTTACTCACCCAGCTTCTCTTATTGAAGAACACCAAGGTAAAATACAAGCTTCATACAAACTGTGCATCAGATGAAGTAAAAATAAACAATGGGCCACCCTTCTGGGAGACAGCCTCCTCTAGGAACTGTCTTTGCTTTATGTCGTACTGTGTAGACCTTGGGGATTTTCTGAGTTCTGTTGGGGAAACCTAACTACTCAGTTTGTAAGTTCTTCTCCTTTGTTAATGTTGAATAACAGGCCAGTCAACAACAATCAGTTTTTCTTTTAATCTAAGTCATTCTCCTTCACAACTTCCAGAAAAGAAAAATTAATGTTTCTTGACCATTGACAGCTTCTGTATTTTAGCAATACCAAGTATTTTTTAAAAGTTGTTTTTGTATTTTTTCATTTTTAAATTTGCTTTTTAATTTTTTCATCATGTCAGTGATATTTTACAGGGATGTGTAGACTCAATCATTATTGAAATGGAATGTTGACCCTTTAAGGTTTAATGGGGAGGAAGAAGATGAAAATATTTAATATCCTTGTTAAACATGGGCTGGCATCATGGGATGTTGCTGATGGAGGTGTTTCACATTTTAATCATGCCAAAGAACCACCAAACTCCTGGGTTGGTGTAAGGACTGGAACACTAGACAGAGATGCAAATGTGTATAAAGAAAAGGTAATAATATTTTGGGAACATGCTCTCTTGACTTCGCTTGGTGTAGAACAGACTCAGTAATTGAATTACCCTGTGGATAGGATTGTGATGTTGTAATAAGGTCCTTTGCTCTTTTAGATACTAACGATTTATTGATGTTTTCAAAAGAACCTTTTTTTAACTGTCTTCTTGGATGAAACAAATATTATAATCAATTTTTTTAAGAGCTTGACTTTCTGATTTTGTTACCTTAAAAGTTCTTTCTCTGTGTTTGGATAGAATTTCAGTTGCTGCTGGCTGGCAGCCATTCTTGAATGAGAGAAGAGAGTTGTGCTGGCAGGCGAATGAATTTGTCCTACATGTCCTCTCCAGCAGAATGTCATGTGGGGTCAACTTCTAGTCCCAAGTTTGATATCATCTGATGAATTCCTCTGTACAGATATTCTGATTCTTCCATGTTATAGTATGGAGCTGCTTCATAGATCTTTGGTTATGTGGACATTTGTATATCTACCATTTTTCTATGCCCAAACAGATTCTGGATGAATCTGTTTTTAAAAAACTATCTGGGATCACCAATTAAATGATTTTCCTGATGCTAGGGTCAGTGATTGTTCGAGCTCAGTAGAAGCTGTGGTGTCTTGCCTAGGTCCCCCTTCCTGGGTTGTTGCACTTATTCCTCAGCTGCTGGCAATGCTGTTTGCAAATGTATCAGAGCTCCCATCCACCCACCTCCTAACTCCTCATCTCTCCACCCACTGCGCCCTAAAAATTGCCCTTAGCTATTAGGAGCAAACTAGCCAAGGAGGCTGTGACACTTCTTTCCTCCTTCAGGAATGGTATGTAAACAATGCCTGGAATATACAGGGCTATAGAAGTCTAGCTTTCTTGCCTCAAAAGGGAACAACACTCCAGTGGGATTTATATTTCAGACTCCCTACAATACAAATGGATCAGCCCAAGACTACACTTTACCCGAGACCACATTCTTGATCACCTCTTTCTTCTTCCCTATCCTGCTTTATGCTCACTCTTAGAGGCACTCCTGAAAACATCTTCCTCAATAAAGCTCTAAAAACCCTGGATCAGGCTTTGTTTCTAGGGAAACTGGCTTAAAATTCTATCAAAAGTGGTCTTAGAAAGCAGACCTCAAGAATGGCATCCTGAAGTTAGAAACTTGAGAGCTGGCTTATACCAATGACTTATCACTGGTGGTAGCTTCTGACATGCAGCCACAGTGCAATTGCTAAGGTTATCACTGAGGTCAACTTGGATGGGATATGGGCAGAAGAAGATGCACTGGTTTGTGCAAAATCTCTGGTGTTGGAGAGGTACAAGAGAAATATAAATTTGAAGGTCTGTGGAATTCAGAGGCTATTTCTGAATGCCATTGATGTTTCAAAGAGATGAAATAACAGGCTCAGGGCAATCAATCACCAATTTAAAGCCAAGTATGAAAGTCAGAGGGCCTCTTTGGCAGCTTGTAAACAGACCTTCAGTTCCTACAGCTGGAGGGCAGATGAACTGAAGAACAGGCATAGGACTTAATTATAAAAGTCACAGAACTAAAGAGAAAGCATAATTCCCAGCCATGGAAAGTCTTATATGCCAAACTCAGAGTCCTGAAAAGTAAAGAAAAGGGCACTGAAACTTGGGATAGGGTTATCTGGGTATATATAGAGTAAATCTTCACTTAATGTTATTGATATTTTTTTGGAAATGGTGATTTTGAATAAAATGACACATAATGAAACAAAATTTACCATAGACTAATTTATATAAACAAGAGTTAAGTTCCTATGGAATATTTCTGGTCAAAAAAAAATCACCAAACTTCTAAATAAAGACCCCAAACACTCCTAATATTAAACACTGACTTAAGTGTGAGCAGTACACACACTTAAGAAAGATTAATAAAAACACATAAGATAATTCTTTACCCATTTTTTTTTGGTGAATCAGTGAGTGATGGTGATCATGGTGCAGGTGGGTTAAATGAAGGAATAAATGTTTGCAAAGCAAAAATTGTAAGAGCACCTCTTGCCAGCACACAGTTCAAATGCAAATAAATATTGTGGGCTCAATGGGCACTTTCTCCCTGCATCATTTATTGTTGTGCATTTGTGTGATTATCATAGACTTGAAGAATTTTTATTTGATAGTAATTTGTGTTCCATTCATTCATTTATTTTCCAACCCACTTGTTCCAGTTCAGGGTCAAGTGTGTTAGGAGCCTATGATGGCAGTTGAGGGCAGAAGTAAGAACCAGCCCTGGACAGGGCTCCATCCCATCATTGCAGGGCATACTCACACATACACCCATGCACACTCAGACTGCGACAACGTGGACATTCCACTTCACCTCATGTGTACATCTTTGGGTTGTTGGAGGAAATTGGAGTATCTAGAGGAAATCCATGCAGACATGGAGACAGTGTACAAACTACACAAACAGTGGCTCTGGCCAGAATGCCAGAATGGATTGCTTTTCTTATCAATGTTACAATACAATGACATCGAATGAAACAATGTTATTTGAGGATCTGCTGTACATGTAATCCTTGGACTCCCAGATTCCCCTGGAACTTTTGGGTTTGTACAGTGGTCCCCCTTGTTGAAAGATAATGCCTCTGCCACCTCTTGGTTGAAGACTGTGAGAAAACTCACATGAGGCAGGCAGATGCTTTACAGGATGTTACTAAGTACTTCTGGATCTGCCTCCTACTCCCTTCTTGGTCACATAAACAGCAACTAGGATCACTATCTTAGCCTAACACAGTTGAAAAAATGTGGAGCTTCCTAAAGGAGGGGATGGATTATATGCTCAGAGTTGCAAGAATAGCTAACAAGTACAGCAGTAACTAAGAAAGCATTCTTGAGAGTGGATTCTAAAGGTGTTGGATAAGGATTGTGGGGTAGAATATAAAGTTAAATAAGGGAGAGTATGCTAATATAGGGGGACCCTCCTGTGATACAAAATTTAACAACCAACAGTAGTTCTAAGACACTCCTTGGGAGTATCTTGGAAGCTTGAAAAGCAATGGCTTACATTTAATATAGTAGAGATGCTAGATTACTGTGACAGACTGGTGGAAATGACCAAAGGCTCAGCAAAGTGGGCATTCTAGAAAGGATTTATTGTATAAATCTTGAAGACCTGCTTGCTGATTAACTTTCTTAGAAGAATCTAGTGTATAATACATTTATGAAGGAGACATCATCATTATTTAGAAGCTCATATTGGCTATACTTTGTAGGCTGGAACTAGATAGAAGAAAACACTATACAGAATTGGATACCATTGTAAGGTACTCTCCAGCTCTCATATATTTCAGGGATTGCCTCGGCTACAGAGAGCTGCCTGTCTCATGGTCACTCCCTTTATGGATCGATGCAAGTACAAATGCCTGGTTACTTTGGTCGAATGCAAGATAATTCTGCAGGGCCTTTTTAGCTATCTACGGAGACATTTATCTGGAAATCCCCATGGAGTTGGACAAGACTGAATTAGAGCTTGAATTATTCTCCCCAATCCTTCTTCCTTCTTCTCCCTTCTACAAGTGTTGCTCTCAAGAGGACTCCTTAATAAACACTCTGTGTTCTAAATTCCATAACTGAGCCAACTCTTATGGGAACCTAACCTGTGACAGGCCTCAAGGAGATTTCCTGTGACCAGGTGACAGAGGGGGATAAAACTTGAGCTTGGTTCACAGATAAAGTGGCTTGCTACCACGGTATGATCCTAAGATAAATAGCTGATGCATTACACTTCCATTCAGGTGTAGCTTTGAAACAAAATGATGAAGGAAGGAAACTAACCAATAGGAAGAGCTTTAAATTATTAACTTGCATAAAGAAAGAAATGGTTTGAGATAACAACATTTATGGATTTATCGATAGTAACAAATAATCTAGCCTTTAGTCAAGGGATCTGGAAGGAGCAATATTGTGAGATCAGGGTCCAAGAGGTTTAAGAGGAGACATGTAGGTGGATCTATGGATGTGGAAAGGAAGCATGAAGCTCTTCTCATTGCATGCTAGAGCAGACTCATTGTAGGAGAGGTGCTAAATAACCAAATAGACAGGATGACTTGGCTGATTGTTTTTAGCTCCTGCCCTTGACTATGACAATAATGGCACCATGGGTGTATGAATGGAGAAGCCATGGGACAGATATGGACTGTATGTATATGCCTAAGAATATGGGCTCCATCTTACCAAGGCCTGTGTAGCCAGTCACTACTGCTGAATGCCCAACTCGTCAGCAATAGAAACTAATGCTAAGTGTCCTGCATGTGAGTATTCCCCAAAGAGCTCAATCTGCCACTTGGTGCAAGTTTGATTTTGTAGGACCCTTTCCATTTTGAAAAGGGCAGAATTTATCCTAACCAGGATTAACACATATGGGTTCACTTTTCTTTCCTATAGGACTTTGACAAATACAATTTTTCATGGACTTGTGGAGTGTTTGATTTGCTGATATGATATTCTGCATAATAACATCTCAGACCAGAACAATCTTTTCTTGGCAAAGGAGATAGAGAAGTGGGCACATGACTATGGGGACTGCCTTAGTCTATTTTGTGTTGCTATAACATAATACCTAAGGCTGGATAGTTGATAAAGAAAAGAGGTTTATTTGGCTCACGGTCCTATAGGCTGTACACAAAACATGGCTTTTGTGCTGCATCAAAACATGTTGCAGAAGGTCAAAGAAGAATATGCACATGTGAAGAAGGACCAAACATTGATAAATGTTACTACCTCAAACCATTTTCCTCTTTACACAAGTTAATAACTAGGAGATCTCCTCAAAGCTCTGCCTATTGGTTGATATCCTTCCTTCACTGTTGTTCTTAAGGCCACACCTGAGTGGAAGTGTAATGCATCAGCTATTCATCTTGGAGTTGCACCACCACACCAAGCTTTATAATTATCTTTATAATAGCCCACTCTGATGGGAACTAATCCAGTCCCATGAGAACTAATTCCATCTTGCTAGAATGTGAACTTGCTCACTACCATGAGAACAACACCAGCCCTTTCATGAGGTACATACCTTCATGACTCAAACACCCCCAGCTAGTCCCAACCCCAGCACATTGGGGATGCAATTTTAACATGAGTTTTGATGGGGACAAACAAACTGCATGCAAACCATAGCAGGGCCTACTGGTCTCATCAACTACGGCATCCAGTGCTATCCTTGCAGAATGCTTGAGTGACCTTTAAAAGATGCAGATTAAGCACCAGTTTGCACGTGACACTTTGAAAAGATGGGACATTATTCTTTAGAATGTAGTTTACTTCTTACACCATATCAATTGCATGGTGCTATGTTAGCAAAAGGTATAATCTATAGTGTTATGGACTTAATTGTGTGTTCCCCCCCTTTTATATCTTGAAGCCCTAACCCCTAATGTGACTATATTTTGATATATGGCTTTTACTTAGGTAAGTAGGGTTACACAAAGCTATAATCCAATATGAGTAGTGTCATTATAAGGAAAGGAAGGGATATCAAGGATGCGTATACTCAAAGGAGAGGCCATGTGAGTATATGGAGAGAAAACGGCCATCTGCAAATCAAAGAAAGAGATGTCAGGAGAAACCAATCCTGCAACCATCTTGATCTTGGACTTTTCTTCTTCAGAACCGTGAGAAAATAAATAAATTTCTGTTAGTTAAGCCAGCTAGTCTGTGGTATTTTGTTATGACAGCCCCAGCAAACTAATAATATATGCGGTTTGGGAACGAAGTGTGAAAGTGGGAGTGGCTCCATTCACCATCACTTTCCAGTAATCACTTGGAGAATTTGTGCTTCCTGATCCTGAAACCTTAAGCCCTCTGAGTCTAGACATCTGTGTTTTTAGAGTGGGTTATTTCCAGCTGTGGAAAGCTGTACACTAAAATTCCTACTACTGTACTTATAAAGGTACACATGCCACTTGGTAGCTTTAGGCAGTGTGTGCCGGTAGACCATCAAACACAATTTAGGAATAATCCACCCTTTCCTTTTTGGGAGTTAGGAAAGCTAGGGAGGAGGGAAGAACTTGTTTGACGCTCAGCTGATCCATTGGGCAGGGTAGGGAACCGTCTCTGGATCTTCCTATGCTCATTTGTACCTGTGAATGGTACAGCAACAATGACCTTCCTAGTAAGGGCATCAGAATGGGAGCTCAATCCTCAGGAATAAGTCTATGTGTTACACCATGAGGTAAGCTACCTCAGCTAGTGGACTTGCTAGAGAGAGAGAGAGAGGAACATATGTTCGATGATGGAAGGAGATGATGGGTATCAGTTTTTTCCACAGAACCGATGCAGAAACTAGTAAGTTTCCTCAAGAATTGTAACTACAGTAGCCTGGAGAATCTGTGCTTGGATAGAGTAAAGTTGATGTAAGAAACAAGTGCATTTGAGTGGATGCTATAGGTTTTCTGCCCAGATCCCCTTTACTAGGCCCCTTTTATTGTCCCCTAGCTGCGGGGAGTGGGGCTACCCGCAGCTCACTGCTGTCTCCTTCTCTGGAGATTTGCCCTCAGCTGAGGGAGTTGCCTCACCTAGGAGGTTATACAGCTCTCACCATCCAGGGGTGGCCATTGTTAAGACTGAATAATAAGGGGTACAACTGGCTGGCCCTCCAGCCTCAAGGAGAGGCATTTGTGTGGCACAGTTTATGCTTCAGACACCCGCTTCCATCCACGTTGAGGAGCACGCCAATGCTAGATTTGGCCTGAGGTCACATCTTTGCTCAGTTGTTCCTACCCTGTTTTTCTCCCCCCTTCAGAACCTTTGCTTGAAGATCACGTTCTCAGTACATCATGTGCATTTAATCTATTTTCTCAGGCCCTGCTCCTAGGGAACTGGACCTAAGACAATTAGTCGTAAGATAAAGTCAACAGGACATATCAATAAGCTCAACTTGATAGAGCTGCTTCTCTGAGCCCAGCACTCTGCCATCAGTGTGTGGGTGTGCAATGACATGAGGAGCAGCTTCTGCTCCCATCAAGCTTACCATGTAGCTCGGAAGTGAAAACATAAGAGTGTGTACAATGTAAGTTGCATCATAATGCTAGCTCTAGATACCAAATTGACAAGTGGTAAAATTTGAGGTCAGCAAACAGGAGTGTTTTCCTCAGAGATCTCCATAATTGAAAGTAAGTATCAAAATGCTTGTTATTTAAAGGAATGTTGACTACCATAATTTGAGAATTTGTGTAAGGCTGACAATATGTATTAAAGTGATGAAGTTTGCGAAATGTTGTTAATTTACTGCATTCATGAGAATTTAAATCAAGTATATATATTTCCCAAATTTAGGATTTGAATCAATGCTCGCATGCTGTAAGGTGTTTATTCTAAACTGAGCTAAAGCTAGAAGCATAGTGCCCAGGTGCCACTGTACACCCAGAGGACAGAGCACGTTTCTTTTCCTTGGGAACTGTCAGATAGCAACCATAGGTGGCAATGCAAGCTCAGCAGTAGCATTCTCTGCTCCCTGTCTGCAACAGCTGAAAGTGTCCTTTTAAGGCATTGCTGTTTTATTATTCTTGTATAAAACAGTCTGAATCTTTACAGTTTTCCCAGTGTCTTAAAGTGCATAATTACTTTAATTTAGGTTTTGGGGCAAGCTATATGTGGAAATGTAAAATAGTTGAACCTACAGAAAAATATTTTATAAAGATACAAAAAGTAAATGGGGATGGAAAGGGTTTGAGTTTACCATTGACACAAAATAGGACAGAAGTTCGTGGCTAGTCCACTAAGAATCTAACCTGTTTTACTAATTTTTATTTTTCTATTTCCTGTTTCCTAGAAAGACAAGATGACTGTGGAAGTGGAAATTGATTCTTATTTAAATTTGGTTACATTTCTTAATTAATCTGGTGTTTGAATATTGTGAATAAAAAGATAATTGTTAAATAAAATAGTTCTTACAAATCATTTTAAGAAGCATAAGCATTTCATGTATTTCTGTTCTGTTATTTTAAGGCAACAGAGTCAGTGTACCAATATATGCATATGGATGCAAATAGATGAGTATGATTTTCCTGTCCATCATTATAAAAGTACCTTTCCTAGTTGAACTGTTAATGAAATGATGAGAAAATCTGAGGTGAACATTTAGCAGTCTATTTTCATTTTGTTTCATCAAAAAGAATCTATTTTACAATTACTATTTACTTGCAATAACCTGCAGCGAAAAATGATTTAATGTTCAATATGTGCATTAAAATGCACTTGCTTAATATGTAAAAGCTGATGGAAATTTCATTTAAGCACAATTCCTGTGTCACAGATTTTAAGCAAAATGAAAGGAAGTTAGGGTACCATTTTAACATGGCTATAAAAATAATTTATTTCAGTGGCTGGAGGGAAGGAAGGATTGGTCAAAGTAATTTTTATCTTCGATGGGATTCCCCAGTAGCCTGCTTTCTTATTTGGCTTAATGCATGCCACAATAATCATGCTATTTCTTGTGAGCATTTTTCTAGCTCACAGTAATAAGAATAATTGCATGGTGTTTACATTCTAAAGTGCCTTGTCTCACTAAGCTCTGAAGTCCTTTTTGAGTATTAATTTTCACAAGATTTCTGTGTAGCACACAAGCATGTGTATTATTATCTTGTTATTCCTCTTTTAACAACAAGGATAGTGAGGCACAGATGCAGAAAATGATACACAAGTCAGAGTCAGGATGCCAGAAACAGATTAAGAATTGTAACTTCCTGTTCAAAAGCAAGGCCATGCTTTCAAGGAATTATTAAGGCACTTCATTGAATTCTGGCAATTAGTAGTTATCTTTTAACTCCTAGTTTTTACTCCTAGAACATTAACATTAATAGGAAAAATCTAATAACTTGTAGTTAGTTAATTCTGTTGCATCATGGGTAGTACAGAGATTGTAAACAAGCAAGTTGTACATAACTGTAAAATAGGAATGTTGTTGATAATAATTTGAAGTGTAAATGTTTAATGGCATGGATGAAAAATTCACAACAATTAAAACAAACAAACACAAACTTTTAAGTAATAGCCAGCCTGGAGGCTGCTCGGAACAACAACAAAAAAAGAATTAGGTGTGTAATTTGAGTACAGAATCAAACCTGTCTAAATGTGTTGACCAGAATTCAAAGATGTGAACATCTGAAGATAGGCCTGGAACACAACATACATGCAATATATGTTATTTTGTAATTACATGAATAATATATTTTAAGAATTTCTACACAAATTATTTTAATATCTTTGAGGTATGATTATAACACTGCAATTATATATTTTTAAGAATTGTATCCTTTAGAAATGATTATCTAAAAGATAGTATCTATTCTGCTTACAAATGAAATAATTTTGATGTTGGGGATTTGCTTCAGAGTAATCTGGGGAGTGTGGGGGGCTTGATAAAACAAGATTGGCCATTATCTGATAATTGCTAAAACGGTATAGTTGATATTTGGGGTTACATATATTCTTTACTTCTGTTTATATTTAAAATTTTCTATAATAAAAATTTTAAAATATAAAATATTATAGCCATGTATATTAGATAAGACATTATTACAAATCTGTTATAAGGAAATACATCTCATCTTGCTGGAACTATAATCTATCAAGAACATAGTCAAGAAATAAAATATACCCTACGAAAGTGAAGAGCGCTATCAGAGGGCAATATAAACTTCATAAGATAATATCCTGTCACATGCTATTATTTGAGCCATTCTAATAAAAGATACTACTTAACTACACATGCTTAAGATAATTAATAGTTTGAGCATTCACAGACTTAGGGTCAAATACTTGTGCTAGAATTTACTCATTTGGTAATTTATTTCAATTCAGTAAATCTCCATCTCCTCAGATATAAAATAAGTATGATAATATCTACCTTACAGCGTTTTAATGAAGTTTGCATGTGATTAAAGTTTTGCCTGGTACTTGGTGTTATATAAATGGTAGCTAATAATTTTCAGCTTAATTATATAGATTTTAGATCCACAATATTAAAGCCAGAGACAGCTACATGATTTTCAATGAAGAATGACACCCCTGCTGTACACCTAGGAAAATATGGTCGGGAGAAATCTACAAGAGGAAATAAGTTAATTCATAAAAGCAAGAAATCTGAGTCTTCTTTAACTTAAGGACCCAAAGCCCTGCATTCCTTGTTAAAGCTTAGGTATGCCTTTGTATTAATATTACAAAACAGGACAATGAGTTACAAAATGATCTTTGAGAATTACTAAGAGTCAGAGTAGTAAATGCTAGCTGTTGGAACACACAAACCTAAAATCTCAGAGTCTTAACATGACAAAATATTTTTTCCCACTCATGACGATGTGGGCCAGCAGGTTCTCCTGGAAGCTCTTCATCCATACCACTTTCTTTTGGCATGTCACACCATGGAGTATTCTTGGAACTCTGTGATAGTTCCTCTTCATTTGTTTACTTAATGGGTGATGGAAGAGAGGTTCCATGGAGGATTGCATGAGATATTTTAGAAGTCATGCCTAGAAGCAAAACCCATCATTTCTGGCAACACTTCATTATTCATGTCCCCAGCTAGCTACAAGGGACCTGAGAGATGTAGTTTTTCTGTGTGTCCATGATGTGGGGGCCATCGACCATTGTCTGCTATAATCAATAAAGAAAGAAGTATCTCGTCAGTTCTAGGAAGTTTTATACAAAAAAAAAAAATAGATTGAGTTGTATATCCATATGTAACTCTGTAGACTGTAAGCTGAGGCTGGGGGCACATCTTGATCATTTCTAACTTGCAACTAGTGTTAAGTGAATAGTTTCTGGTAACTAGTAGGTTTCTTATATAAGTTAATCCAGAAAGCCTAGTTTCTTAAAGATTCTATATAATTTTGTATTTATGGTATTGCAGTTTGGAAATAATCATCTCACATATTGAAGAGAAATAAAGTTGTAACAAACAATTCAGTGTGGTCTTAAATAGCTTTACATGTTAACTGAATAAGAAAATTTATAGTTACTATATTTGAAATATTAAAAACTTTCTGGACACTTTACTGGATCACCTAGAATTCGGGCTAGAATTTATTTTCATAAAGATAATAGAAATAAACTTGGATATATATATAAATATATAAAATTTGGATTATATAAAATTCTAAGAAGGAAACAGCATTTACATAAAACATTTTTGTTTATTCCCTACCTCCACAAATTATTACAAAGGGATTTCATTTTCCTAAGTATTCCTTTGCCTTCTAAATCTGGAGTCATAGAACTGAAAGAGAGAAAATCTCACTCTCCTTATTTTCTTTTCACCATCAAGAGAGAAATGAGGAGAATTTGATTCATTTACAGTAAATAAATAAATCCTTTAAAATTTATTGGCACATGGAAGGCAGCAGAACAGATGAGTATTGCAGGAAGTGCAGAAGTATTGCAGGTAGCAGAATCACCCATAGACAATGACAGGCCCTCGGCAGTAGCTTATTGTTTACAAGTGAGACTTTGGACCATAAATAGCATAAAAATAATGTACTGTTCATGCCAAAGTCATTTACAAGTCTTATGTTTGGAGATGGGTCAGACTGCTGATGAGAGCTATAGACAATGACATAATTTTGGAAAAAGACATTAGAGTGAAAGAGATGAGAAATGTTTTTGTAAGTAACAGCGACAACAATAAAACAGTAATAAAACCATTTAAATGTAAGAATTACATTGGAAGGTACTGAGGATGTTTTAGATTTTTTTGCCATCTCTATCATTGATTCTGGTGAATCTTACTTCAGATCAATACTCATCATCCTTCTGTAACACGTAATTTTTAAAAAAGAAAACCAATGAACAAAGCACCAATAAAAATTATTGCTGAAAATAAATGGTTATTTTCACTTATTTGAGATGTAATAGCACCTGAACCTCAGTGAAATTTGGAAACTCATAGAAGAATATTGAGAAAGTAAATAAAAATGTATAAAGGTGTGGCTAAACGTAGGTGATTTTTTTAGAAGGCTTTCGATTTAGAACAATTTTCTTAAAAATTCAAAATCATACTTGTCAGCATCCTGGAGTAAAAGATCTGAGAAAGTTGCTGCCGAAAGATTTTTGCTCATCTCAAAACAAACAAAAAAATGAAACATTAGACTTAGTACTAGAGATCGTGTTGGATATGAGAGATTATTTCTATATTGTCAGTAGAAATGGAAACAAGTCAAAATTCTATAGTTTATGAAATACAATATATTGTTGACTTTGCTTTGTTACAATTGAAATTATCGGTTGGGCTTAACAGTGATTTGCTTCTTTAAAGTAACTAAATTGATCACCAGAAGTTATCTGCTTTTAGGCTCTTTTCATGTCCTTCACCACCTAGAACATATCTATGTGTAATTAACTTTAAAATGCATGCTTTTTATATCCTCTCCCACAGTTATCAAAACTCCAGAAAGGAACTCTGAGAAATAATTTCTAAATTGTGTTTGCCCTGCATACACACACAGACACTCACTTTAAACATACAGCTAAGGGTTACATCTTAATGTGATATAGATTGGGTTCTTTAATATCAGAGATTAGTCAATATTTTTCTAATTTTATTGAAATCAACCAAGATTTTAATGGTGCCGTTTAGCCAGCTGACACAATCTGAGACACCTTCATTATCAGCATAGGTGAAGCTAAGTGTAAACCTTTGTACTGCTTTCTACTTTCTTTCATGAATAGAATTGAGTTGTACTAAGGTAATGGTGCAAATTTACAGTATCCATAAAAGCACCATTATTGTACTGCTTTGCCTAATGCATTAGGAAGAGAAGACCACTTGGCAGACACCACATATCTACAAATGAACAAAATGGACTAAAATCAAAATTGCATTACTTTTGTCAATAATTTGCGTTATAATTTTATGGCAAATATTAATGGAAAGAGTATCTTAAATAAAAATGAGTCTGATGGTTTCCTTTTGTTGTTGCAGCCCTGATTGTATTTACATCCAGTCATTTATTGCCCATTAAAGGAGTAATGCTATGTTAATGTAAAGGGGGAAAAAATCAATGCTACTGAGATCAGTAGCTGTAGGGAAACAGTGCGGCAGCTGGTTTGCAAACAGTGAGCCCATATAGATCAATGAAATTACAAGCTAAATCTGCTGATGCTCACAAACTGCTCCAGCGGTGTGCTGTCTAACCTTTTTCAAGTTCAAGAGCTCTAGAAAGGCAGAGATAAATAAATGGAAAGCAGGGCAAAGGCAACCAGGAGACGGTGACAGTGTACCTAGAGTACTGTGATATGTGATATTTTACTTTTGCAGATATCAAGATAACTGCACATTTTAACCTATAAAGAAGCCCTATAATCTGTCGGGGAGCCACATGGAGAGCCTTCACAACCCAGAAAATCTACCTTAAAAGGGTTCTTTTATTTGGAGCATTGGAAGGCTACATGATACTTCACAAATGTGCTTGTTAAGCTAAATTACAAAAAATATTATTCAGTGAGCTAATGATGGAATTCTAAAATATATTGTGGGTTGCATTTGATGACTTATTGGAGTCCCCAAAATATTATTGTAAAGATAAATATTATATACATTGAGCCTCAGCTTCTTGATAATAAATCACCAATCAGATTCTTGCACATTTAATGTTTGAAAAAAGATAATGAGCTTTTCATCTCAATCAAGTGATTTTGTATCAATTTGCATGCCATTAGTAAGTGTTTTTCCTCATAAGTTTTGAATTTTCAGTTTTTCTTTGTCTAAGCCTTCCATGGACACTCAGCTGTATTTTGACTACATTTCTTGAGACACACAAAATCTTTACTGGAGGACTGTTAATTGACCCAATCAGAGGAATAGGTGATATTTCCAAAAGAGAATCATTACATGGATTGATTTTTAAAAAATAAGTTGACTCTGTTTAGAACTACAGAGGACCTTTGACATTGGCCCATGCAACATCATTTTTCACCCATAAAGGATCAATGACTTTCCCAAGAACACATACATCAGAACTCATCCAGGGGCTTCCAGGCTAACAGCAGTACTGCTCTCAACCCATGATGCTGCCCTAACATGATTGGGGTAGGAAAAAAGGAAGAGAGTGTAGAAGAGAGAAAAAAGTAGAATGAAGGTTTACATGGGATGTTTTTATTCAAATATTCACAGAAAATAAAAATACTAAAATCATACATGGGATAAAACTAATCACAGAATATTATTTCTACTAAATTATTCATAAACAAATTGTTGATGCAAAGAACAAAAACCCAGCCTGGCAACATGGTGAAACCCTGTCTCTACCAAAAATACAAAAAATTAACCAGGTGTGGTGGTGCATGCTTATAGTACCAACTACTCGGGAGGCTGAGGTAGGAGAATCACCTGAGCCAGGGAAGTGGAGGTTGCAGAAAGCTGAGATGGTGCCCTACTGCACTCCAGCCTGGGCAACAGGTGTGAGAACCACACACACACACAGACACACACACAAAGAAGAAAAAGATGTCTTTCTCTTTCCTCTCTTCCTCCTTAAATCAATCAAAGAAAATGCAAAACAAAAACACTGATTAAAGAGTCAACCAAAGTGTAGCCTGTCAGCAAGGCTGACCAAACTTCATCTCTTCCTCAGACACCCTCTGAGTACATGTCCTGAGAGGCACAAGACACGCTTTCTTTGAACCCTAGTGCAGTAATTATATCGATTTAAATAATTCTATCTGTCTCAATCCTCTAAGATAGTGACACAAGAGTGACATGATCTTTACAGGACTGGCTTACTAGATAATGGCAGAAATCTCAGCCAAGTAGCATGAACTGGTAACTCTTATAGTTTAGATCCCTGTATTTAAATATACCTCGGTTTTTACAAACCAGGATGTTTTGTTTTGGTACACTGTGTTAAAAATTAATAAAATTTTTAGCAGTTGAGATAAATATGAATTATTTTCTACTCCGTGTAAGGAATAATCATACTTGAGATAAGTTATTACATTTTGGAGAGTATCCTTTAAAAAATAATGTCAAAAATAATCAGAGGACATATACTATCTCCTAAGTAATTTTAGAATAAGTTAAACCTGAGCAATACATGTATTTACCTTGCTAATGATTCA
This sequence comes from Homo sapiens, assembly GCF_000001405.40. Classification (NCBI taxonomy): domain Eukaryota; kingdom Metazoa; phylum Chordata; class Mammalia; order Primates; family Hominidae; genus Homo; species Homo sapiens. The sequence continues at coordinate 97,734,201 of NC_000006.12, forward strand.
GGTAATATGAACTCTATCAAATTCACTGTGTTATAATTTTACATTTTATTTTATAATATCTTATTCTCATATTTTCAGGTTTTCAAAGTATGTTCATCTCTACTTTCTGATATCTTCATATGAATACTGTGAAATAGGTAGATTGGATATTATTACCTCCAGTTAACGTAAGGATACAGAAAGAGGCCAAGCCATTTTCCCAAAGTCACTTGTCAACCATTCAGAGATGAGAACTCAATTCCTGGGAAAAAAAACTCTATTATTTTATTATTGCCTCTACTTTATGCTTTGAATAGGATGCTTTGAATATGGGTAAGAGAAAAACTGAAGCATGAGAAGAAAAATTTTAGCTATACCTTGTTCCTCATACTAAATGATTATACTAATGATCAGAACTCCAATAACGAAACCAGACACTCAGGGTCTTTAAACTTGGGTAAGGGAGTTCATATTACGAAAATAATTTTTCAGGACATTTTAAGGAGCAATGTGTTAACACTGGCAGAGCGTCACCAAATTATGGTGAAGTCTACACAAAAAAGATACGAGTTAATAAAATACACAACCATGTTTTACTGTAGCTATGGAGGATGATTGATGTAACAGGTAACAGCATGGTAGTATTGTGGAGTTAAATATACTCATACTGTGGGGGAGGCATTTCCAAATAATTCTTGGCCTGGAGATTTTCCTTTCCCCAGCTAAAAGCCAGATAAATCTCTACACCTTTCATCTTTAACTGTCAGTGATGTTCAGGGCAGGTAGACAGAGGGCAAAAAAGAGAAAGCAGTGGGTATAGCTGACATTTGCAGAATGTACACTGAAGGGAATAAGATCTCCATAATTTTCAATATTGCAGTGATTTCTACTGCCGGCTCTTTTAGTGTCCCTGACACACTGTCTTGCCTCATGCAGGAGGTGACAAATCCAATTTCAGGTACTAATCTGACACTGTACTGAAATGACCCACTACCTAATCTCAGATATTCAGATCCAATGGCTTTGGATTCCAGCTCCTTTCTGTTTATGGACCTCTTTCTTGTTATGATGACCTAGTTGTACTCTCTTTCCTGGTCTTTTTCTTTTTTTTCTTTGAGATGGAGTTTCACTCTTGTTGCCCAGGCTAGAGTGCAGTGGTGTGATCTCAGCTCACTGCAACCTCTGCCTAGCAGGTTCAAGCTATTCTCCTGCCTCACCCTCCCAACTAGCTGGGATTACAGGCATGCACCACCACTCCCAGCTAATTTTGTATTTCACCATGTTGGCCAGGCTGATTTCAAACCCCTGACCTCAGGTGATCCACCTACCTCGGCCTCTCAAAGTGCTGGGATTACAGGCATGAGCCACTGTGCCTGGCCAGACAGCCCTCTCTACTCCACTCTTTATTTCTTGTGCACAGCTCTGAATATGGAGACATCCACTGCTCTTGGCAGCAATTTCTTACTCCGGTCAATTCAGACTTGCAGAGCTGACAAAGTTAAACTGACTTTCTTGTCCCTTCTACTAAAGAGACAAATTGGACATGTTTAATAGGTGAATAAACTTCTTCCTGGTTTAGTCTTGGGAGGGTGTATATGTCCGGGAATTTATCCATTTCTCCTAGATTTTCTAGTTTATTTGTGTAGAGGTGTTTACAGTATTCTCTGATGGTAGATTGTATTTCTGTGGGATCAGTGATGATCTCCCCTTTATCTTTTTTTTATTGTGTCTATTTGATTCTTCTCTCTTTTCTTCTTTGCTAGTCTGGCTAATGGTCTATCTATTTTGTTAATCTTTTCAAAAAACCAGCTCCTGGATTCATTGATTTTTTCAAGGGTTTTTCCTATCTCTATCTCCTTCAGTTCTGCTCTGATCTTAGTTATTCTCTTGTCTTCTGCTAGCTTTTGAATTTGTTTGCTCTTACTTCTCTAGTTCTTTTAATTCTGATCTTAGGGTGTCAATTTTAGATCTTTCCTGCTTTCTCCTGTGGGCATTTAGTGCTATACATTTCTCTCTTAACACTGCTTTTGCTGTGTCCCAGAGATCCTGGTACATTGTGTCTTTGTTCTCATTGATTTCAAAGAACTAACTTATTTCTGCCTTAATTGCATTATATACCCATAGTCATTCGGGAGCAGGTTGTTCAGTTTCCATGTAGTTGTGCAGTTTTGAGTGAGTTTCTTAATCCTGAGTTCTAATTTGATTGCACTGTGGTCTGAGAGACTGTTTGTTATGATTTCCGTTCTTCTGCATTTGCTGAGGAGTGTTTTACTTCCAATTATGTCGTCAATTTTAGAATAAGTGCGACGTGGTGCTGAGAAGAATGTATATTCTGTTGATTTGGGGTGGAGAGTTCTGTAGATGTGTATTAGGTCTGCTTGGTCCAGAGCTGAGTTCAAGTCCTGAATATCCTTGTTAATTTTCTGTCTTGTTGATCTGTCTAATATTAACAGTGGGGTGTTAAAGTCTCCCACTATTATTGTGTGGAAGTCTACTACTCTTTGTAGGTCTCTAAGAGCTTGCTTTATGAATCTGGGTGCTCCTGTATTGGATGTATATATATTTAGAATAGTTAGCTCTTCTTGTTGCATTGATCCCTTTACCATTATGTAACGCCCTTCTTTGTCCTTTTTGATGTTGGTTGGTTTAAAGTCTGTTTTATCAGAGACGAGAATTGCAACCCTTGCTTTTTTTTTTGCTCTCCAATTGCTTGGTAAATCTTCCTCCATCCCTTTATTTTGAGCCTATGTGTGTCTTTGCACGTGAACTGGGTCTCTGGAATACAGCACACTGATGGGTCTTGACTCTTTATCCAGTCTGTGTCTTTTAAATGGAGCACTTAGTCCATTTACATTTAAGGTTAATAGATGTCAAATCCCTGAATAGACCAATAACAAGTTCTGAAATTGAGGCAGTAATTAATAGTCTACTAACTAAAAAATGCCCAGGACCAGATGGATTCACAGCCTAATTCTACCAGAGGTACAAAGAGGAGCTGGAACCATTCCTTCTGAAATTATTCCAAACAATAGAAAAAGAGGGACTCCTCCCTAACTCATTTTATGAGGCCAGCATTATCCTGATACCAAAACCTGGCAGAGACACAACAAAAAAGGAAAATTTCATGCCAGTATCCCTGATGAATATCAATGCAAAAATCCTCACTAAAATACTGGCAAACCAAGTCCAGCAGCTCATCATAAAGCTTATCCACCATGATCAAGTCAGCTTCATCCCTAGGATGCAAGTCTGGTTCAACATACACAAATCAATAAACTTAATCCGTCATATAAACAGAACCAATGACAAAAACCACATGATTATCTCAATAGATTCAGAAAACTCCTTGGGTAAAATTCAACACCCTTTCATGCTAAAAATTCTCAATAAACTAGGTATTGGTGGAATGTGTCTCAAAATAATAGGAGCTATTTATTACAAACCCACAACCAATATCAAACTGAATGGGCAAAAGCTGGAAGCATTCCTTTTGAAAACCAGCACACGACAAGGATGCCCTCTCTCACCACTCTTATTCAAAATGGTATTGGAAGTTCTGACCAGGGCAATCAGGCAAGAGAAAGAAATAAAGGGTACTCAAATAGGAAGAGAGGGAGTCAAATTGTCTCTGTTTGCAGATGTTGTGGTTGTATATTTAGAAAACCCCATCATCTCAGCTCAAAATCTCCTTAAGCTGATGAGCAATTTCAACAAAGTCTCAGGATACAAAATCAATGTGCAAAAATCACAAGCATTCCTATACACCAAAAATCCTGAGTGAACTCCCATTCACAATTGCTACAAAGAGAATAAAATACCTAGGAATACAACTTACAAGGGATGTGAAAGACCTCTTCAAGGAGAACTACAAACCACAGCTCAAGGAAATAAGAGAGGACACAAACAAATGGAAAAACATACCATGCTCATGGATAGAAAGAATCAGTATCATGAAAATGGCCATACTACCCAAAGTAATTTATAGATTCAATGCTATCCCCATCAGGCTACCATTGACTTTCTTCACAGAATTAGAAAAAAACTACTTTATATTTCATATGGAACCAAAAAAGAACCCATATAGCCAAGACAATCCTAAGCAAAAAGAACAAAGCTGGAGGCATGACACTACCTGACTTCAAACTATACTACAAGACTATAGTAACCAAAACAGCATGGTACTGGTACCAAAACAGATATATAGACCAGTGGAACAGAACAGAGGACTCAGAAATAATGCCGCACGTGTACAACCATCTGATATTTGACAAACCTGACAAAAGCAATGGGGTAAGGATTCTCTATTGAATAAATGGTGTTGGGAAGAATGGGTAGACATATGCAGAAAACTGAAACTGAACTCCTTCCTTACACCTTATACAAAAATTAACTCAAGATGGATTAAATACTTAAATGTAAAGCCTAAAACTATAAAAACCCTAGAAGAAAACCTAGGCCATACTATTCAGGACATACGCATGGGCAAAAACTTCATGACTAAAATGGTAAAAGCAATGGCAACACAAGCCAAAGTTGACAAATGGGATCCAATTAAACTAAAGAGCTTCTGCACAGCTAAAGAAACTATCACCAGAGTTAACAGGCAGCCCAAATAATTGGAGAAAATTTTTGCAATCTATCCATCTGACAAAGGGCTAATATCCAGAGGCTACAAGGAACTTAAACAAATTTACAAGAAACAAACAAGGAACTTAAACAAATTTACAAGAAACAAACAAGCAACCCCATCAAAAAGTGAGTGAAGGATATGAACAGACACTTCTCAAAAGAAGACATTTATGTGGCCAACAAACATGAAAAAAAAGTTCATCATCACTCATCATTAGAGAAATGCAAATCAAAACCACAATGAGATACCATCTCACGCCAGTTAGAGTGGTGATCATTAAAAAGTTAGGAAACAACAGATGCTGGAGAGGATGTGGAGAAATAGGAACGCTTTTACACTGTTGGTGGGAGTGTAAATTAGTTCAACCATTGTGGAAGACAGTGTGGTGATTCCTCAAGGATCTAGAACCAGAAATACCATTTGACCCAGAAATCCCATTACTGGGTATATACCCAAAGGATTATAAATCATTGTACTATAAAGACACATGCACACGTATGTTTACTGCAGCACTATTCACAATTGCAAAGACTGGGAAGCAACCCAAATGCCCATCAATGATAGACAGGATAAAGAAAGTGTGGCACATATACACTATGGAATACTATATAGCCATAAAAAAGGATGAGTTCATGTCCTTTGCAGGGACATGGATGAAGCTGGAAACCATCATTCTCAGCAAATTAACACAGGAACAGAAAATCAAAAACCGCATATTCTCACTCATAAGTGGGAGTTGAACAAAGAACACATGGACACAGGAAGGGGAACATCACACACTGGGACCGGTTGGGGTTGGGGGTCTAGGGGAGGGATAGCATTAGGAGAAATGCCTAATGTGGATGTTGGGTTGATGGTTGCAGAAAACCACCATGGCATGTGTATACCTATGTAACAAACCTGCACATACTGCACGTGTATCCCAGAATTTAAAGTATAATACAAAAAAAAAAAGAAAAAAAAGGTGAATAAAAATAGCAGTAGTGAGAACTAAACATTTTAATTGATTAAGACTTAGTTGAACTTTGAGGAACTGCAAAGTAAAATGTCTCTGCAATTTATGTAATACTTGGTTAAACAGAAGAACTCATTTACTGGGGCCATACATAGCAAGGAATACCAAAAAGGATATGCAAAAACAAAGGAGAATCAGGTTCCCCACTCTAATATGGCATTTTCCTTGAGCTACGTGGCCCATAGTATGAGCAGTTGGATCTCTGTAAAAAGGTGTCCCAGTGATTATTCTTTGAGGGTTAGATGCTGAATTGATTTTGTTCATCTACCTTTCACTCAATACACAGGCCAGACCACTGGCGTCTGTTCTCATTCTTTCATCACTGATGTTCTTTTCTCATAGTAGTGACCCCTGATGGACTTTTCTCATCCTGGTGACCCCTTCGACACTGTCCAAGAAAATTCTGATATTCTACCCTATTCATGCTGCTGTGAGTAAAATATTGTCTGTAGACTGATACTTTCTCTTATGAGTGGTTCAACCACCAAGCAAGATCTAGGCAAAATAACAGAATGATAAACTAAAGAGAAAAGGGAGAGAGACTTTCTTCTAATACATTAATGATTGATTGATCGGCTTATAAATTCTTTTTATGAAGATTGTTTCTTATTATAGATATATATATATAGGTGTTGCCTGAGTTGACTCTAAAGAGAAAAGGGAGAGAGACTTTCTTCTAATACATTAATGATTGATTGATTGGCTTATAAATTCTTTTTATGAAGATTGTTTCTTATTATAGATATATAGATACATATATATAGGTGTTGCCTGAGTTGACTCTTAGGTAAATGTACTTAATTCATTTCACAATGTGACTGACTTTTTAAAAAAATTCTCAACTAATCCACTTTTCTACATTGTGTAGTTCTGAATTAACATAATCTATTAAGAATGGTTAAAAAAAACCCAGAAGTATCTGAACTTGGTGGAGACCATTAGATAATTATAATTACAGTCCTAGCATTGCATAGAAAAATAATAGGATAAGCTATCCTCTCTCAACATACTGCCTTAATAAGGCCTCATCTTGTCTGTGTCATTCTTCCCAGTTTTAGAATATAAATTGTCCAGATTTTATTTTTCTTTCAATACATTCCACATAAGACTCATGTGTTGAATGAGTAAATTGACTGATGGCATGCATATGTAGCTTTAAACAATGTGTATGTACAAATAAATGTTAGTTTAGAATTTATTTAGATGTCACACTTATAAATTGTTTAATTTTTTGGAATTTATGTCAATTTTACATGCAATACACTGCATCTAATTTATCAGTTTTGACAGTGGTACACACCCAAGAACTCACCTCCATAGTCAAGTACAGAACATTTTCATTATCCCCCTGCGGTTCCTTGTATCCTGTTGTCCCATTGCAGAATATTTCTTTTGCTACCCACTGCTCCAGGCAAGCATTGTTTTTATTTTTTTCTTTTATCCCTGTAGATTAGTTAGCACTTCAAATAATTTTATGTAAGTGGATTCATGCAATATACACCCTTTGGCTTTTTCACCGAAGATAGTGATTTGGGATTGATTCAATCGCTTGTATATATAAATAGTTCCTTTCTTTTTTATTGCTGAGTAGTATTTCATTGTTTGAAATCACATTTTGCCTAACCACTCAGCTGTTGATTGACAACTGGGTTGTTTGCGGTTTTTGAATATTTTTAATAAAGATGCCACTAATATTTGTGCATAAGACTTCGTGTAAACATGTTTTTATTTCTTTGTGAAAATACCTGAGTGGAATAACTGGGTCAAATGGTATGAATATGTTGAACTCCAAGAAACTGACAAACATTTTTCCAAAGTGGGTTATGCCACATTAAACTCCCATCACTAGTGTAGAGTTCTAGTTGCTGCATATCCTTACCAACACTTGGGATTTTGAGTAAATTTTGAATTTAGCCATTTTCATGCGTGTAAAGTGGTAGGTCAGCTTTAATTTGCCTTTCTCTGATGAATAATGATGGTGAGCATTTTTTCTTGCACTTCTTAATTACTCAATATTTTCATTTGTAAAGTATTATTAAATATTTTGCTTATTTTTATTGAGTTGTTATCTTATTATTGAGTTGTAAATTTTTTTGTAATCTGGATATAAGTTCCATGTCAAATATATGTATTGCATAATTTTCTTCCATTCTGTGACTTGCCTTTTTATTTTTGTAAAAGTAGTTTTCAAAGAGCAACACTTTTTAATTTTAATAAAGTTTATCATTTTTTTATTTTATGATTTGTGTTCTCTGTGTCCTCCCTAAGATATCTTTGCCTCCCCAGATGTCACATATCTTTAAAATGCTTGCTTCTAGAATTTTTATTGTTGTTTTTTTATGTTCAGGTCTATGATCCATTCAAAATTACAGGCATACCTCAGATATTACAGGTTGAGTTCCAGACCACCTCACAAAAGCAGATACGCAACAAAGTGAGTCAATGATGTTTTTTTGGTTTCCCAGTGCACATAGAAGTTAGGCTTACACTATATTATAGTCTATTAAGTGTGCAATAACATTATGTCTAAAAAATCAATGTACATATCTTAATTTAAAATATTTTATTGCTCAAAATGCTAATGATTATGAGTCTTCAACAAGTCATAATCTTTTTGCTGGTGGAGGATCATGCCTTAATGTTGATGGATGGCTGCTAACTGATCAGGGTAGTAGTTGCTGAAGGCTGGCATGACTATGGCAACTTCTTTAAAACAAGACAATAAAGAAGTTTGCAGCATTTATTCGCTCTTTCTATCACAGAAGATTGTTCTGTAGCATGTGATGTTGTTTGATAGCATTTTACCCAGAGAAGAATTTTTTTCAAAATTGGAGTCAGTCCTCTCAAACCCTGCCATTGCTTTATCAACCAAGTTTATGGAATATTCTAAATTCTTTGTTTTGATTTCCACAATGTCCACAGCATCTTCACCAAAAGTAGATTCCATCTTAAGAAACCATTTTCTTTGCTCCTCCATTAAAAAGCAACACCTAATCTTTTAAAGTTTTATCATGAGATTGCAGCAATTCAGTCTCACCTTCAGATTTCATTTCTAATTCTAGTTATCTTGCCATTTCTACCACATTGGCAGTTACTTCCTCCACTTAATTCTTGAACTCTTCAAAGTCATCCATGGGGATTGCTGTCAACTTCTTTCAAAGTCCAGCTAATATTGATGTTTTCACTTCCATTCATAAATCATGAATGTTCTTAATAGCACCTAGAATGGTGAATTCTTTCCAGAGGTTTTCAATTTACTTTGGCTAGATCCATCAGAAGAATCAGTATCTGTGGCAGCTATAGCTCTATGAAATGTCTTTCCTAAACAGTAATACTTGAAAGTTGAAATGACTCCTTCTTGATCCATGGGTTGCAGAGTGGATGTTGTGTTAGTAGGCATGAACACAACTTTAACCTCCTTGTACATCTCCATGAGAGCTCAATAATAAATATCTATTAATTTGCATGGAAATCAATAATAAGCCCAATACATGTTAACATAAAAAACATAACTTTGTAAAAATATTTATATATTTCAGAATGAAAAGTTAATGAGAAAAAGAGCATTGTTGTACACTAAAAAATACTTTAATGTCTGTTTCTACATTAAATCTGTTGAGATTTTACAGATCATTTACCTTCTGGAAAACTCCACTGTAAACTTGTGAGAGTGTGAGAGTGAAAAGGCGATTAGTATCTTACCATTATTAGAAAAATAGTTTTAATTCAGTCCTGGAACAGAATTTGAGAACTGCTGCTCTATTATCTTCTTTTTTAAAACAAATACTTCTTTTTTTTAGTTACTTATTTTTTTATTTCCATAGGTTATTGGGGAACAGGTAGTGTTTGGTTACATGAGTAAGTTCTTCAGTGGTGATTTGTGAGATTTTGGTGCACCCGTAGCCCGAGAAGTATACACTGTACCCAATTTGTGGTCTTTTATCCCTCATTCCCTTCCCAACCTTTCCTTAAAAAAAAAAAACAAAAAAAACAAAAAAAAAACTATTCTCTTGCCAATATCACACTGTCTTGTTTATTGTAGCTTTGCAGTGAGCCGTGAAATCAGTCAAATAAATCCTCCAATTTTCTTCTTTTAAAAAAATTGTTTTGGCTATTGCAGGCTGTTTGCATTTCCACATAAACTTTATAATGACCTTCTTAGTTTCTACTAAACAACCTATTGTAATTTTCACTGGCTTAATGTTTAACTGTAGATCAATTTATGGAGAACTGATATCTTAAAAATACTGAGTTTTTTTAATCCATGAACATAGTTTCTCTCTTATTTTATTCAGATATTGTATAATTTCTCTCAGCAATGTTCCATAGTTTTGAGTGAAGAGATAGTGTACATATTTTGTTAGAATTATTTCTAATTATTGCTAATTATATTTCATGTGATTGTAAATAATTTTTTAAATTTTATTTTCCAATGATTCATTGGCAGTATATTAAAATACAATTGAGTTTTATATATTAACATTGTGTACTGAGATGTGGATAAATTTAATTATTTTGAGTTTATGTTAGTAATAAACAATTACAGTCATTGAAATTATTTTTATCATTATGAAATATTTCTCTTTATCTTTGTTAATACTTTGTAAATTTATCTAATATTGATAAAGATTTTTCTGCCTTTTAATATTCATTATTTGCATGTGTATCTTTTTAAAAAATCCACTTATTCTTTAAATAACACACAAAACTTTAAAGTGTGTCTTTTGTAAGCAGCATATTGTTGCTTTTTTATTCATTCTGATAATATCTGCTTTTTAATTAGAGTGTTTAGTCCATTAATACTTTAAAATTTTTTATTTCTAAATAATTTTAATTTAAAAATGGGAAAAGTAGTTCAATGATTTCCCATGTAGTCTTCACCTGGATTCCACTAATGTTAACATATGTATACATAATATTATAAAAACTAAGAAACTAACATTGATATAACACTCAACTAACCTGTAAACTTTATTCGGTCTCAGAAGCTTTATTGCTGGTTGTGTTTTTTTGTTCCAGGATTTGGTCAGTAATCCTTCATTAAATTTAGTTGTTAATTCCTTTTGTGTACTCCAGTCAGTGAGTTTTGTAGTCTTTCCTTGTTTCTCATGGCCTATTAATTTTGATGAGTATTAATGAACTCTTTTGCAAGAGCCCCTCAATTTGGATTTGTCTGATGTTTCCTCATTATTAAATTGAGGTTATGTATTTTGGACAAAAAGATTGACTTGTTCTTTGCAGGTATCAGGGGTACATGATGTTGTAATATTAACTTGATCACTTGATTAGCTTAGTGTTTGCTGGGTTTTTCCACTGTAAAGTTTTGTTATTTGTAATTGATTAACATTTTTAAGGATATGTTATTATTTAATGCAGTTGTTAATATGGCTGGATTGATGTTTACCATTTTATTATTTGCTTTGTTTTCTCTTTTTTGGTCTTTTTTTCTTTGCTCTTTCTTTGGATCATTTGAATACCTTTATAATTTCATATAATTTAACTTTTGGCTTTTTACCCATAACTCTCCATTTTAGGGGTTTTACTAGAATTTAAAATATATATTCATAAATTTTTAAACTTTATTTCAAAGTATTATTTGCTACTTTACATAAAAGAAATTTTACAACCATATAAGTACATTTATCTTCTCCTGTACTGTCCTACATGCTATCACTGTCATATGAATTGCAGCTACATATATTATAAACTCCACCAAACACTATAATTTTTATTTCAAATAGTCATATATTTTTTAAAAAGTGAAAAAGTAATCACTTATATTCTACCAGATACTTACCATTTCTACTGTTCTTTACTTATTCCTGAAGATCCACTTTTCTTTTGATATTACCTCCCTTCAACCTTAAGAAACTCCTTCAGCATTTCTCTTAGTGTAGGTCTGGGCCCCACATACTCTCTTCAATTTTTTTTATCTCATAATGTCTGCATTTAGTCTTTGTTCTTGAAAGCTATTTTTGCTAGATGCAAAATTCCCCTTTGAGCTTTTTATTTTTTTTTCCTTCTTTGGCACTTTTCTGCCCTCCACAGCTTCTGATGAGAAATCAGTAGTCATTGAATTGGTATCTCCCTGTATGTAATGTGTCATGTTAATTTCATTGCTTTCAAGATAATTTTCATTATATTTAGTTTCAAGAGTCTGACATAGTGTGTCTAGGTACAATTTTTCTTTTGTGGGAACTCTGAGCTTGAATCTGGAAATTTATGTCTTTTACCAAATTTGAATTTTCAGCCTTTGTTTCTTCAAATATTTTCTGCATTGTTCTCTCTCTCCTCTTCTTCTGTAACTCCAATTACCAATATGTTATACATTTTTGTTTTTATTTTAAATCTCTTCTTTAGACTGGATCATTTCTATAATCTATCTTCAAGATCACTAGTTCTTTTTTGTCTCTGCATTCTTGTATTAGAGCATGCAGTAAATTTTTTATTTGATATTGTATAATTTTTCCTACTCAATATGTTTTTTGGAGCAGATTTAGGTTCAGATAAAATTTGAGAAGAAATATATAGTTTCCATATACTTCCTACCCCTACACGCTCATAGCTTCCCACACTATCAGCACCCTGCACCTGAGTAGTACATTTGTTACAGTTGATAAATCTACATTGAGTGACACATCATCACCCAAAGTCCATAGCTTACATCAGGGTTCCCTCTTGATGTAATGCATTCTATGGGTTTTAAAGAATGTATAATGACATGTTTCCAAGTTATAGTGTCATATAGAATAACTTCACTGTCCTAAAAATCTTTTATGCTCTGCATACTGATTCCCCTTTCCTGCCTAACCCTTAGTAACCACTAATCTTTTTCAGTTTTCATGGTTTTGTCCTTTTCAGAATGTAATATAGCTGGAATCACATTGATGGAAGCCTTTCTAGATTGTCTTCTTTTGCTTAGTAATATGCATTAAGGTTTTGTGTCTTTTCATGGCTTGATATATCATTTCTTTTTAGTGCTGAATAACATTTCATTGTCTCAATGTACTGGTTCATTTATCCACTCATCTTCTGAAGGACATCTTGGCTATTTCCAGGTTTTGGTAATTATGAATAAAGCTGCTTTAAACACATATGTTCAGGCTTTTATGTGGACATAAATTTTTAGTTTGTTTGGGTAAATACCAAAAAGTGTGATTGCTTGATTGTATGGTAAAAGTATGTTTAGTTTTCTGGGAAAGTGTCTTCCAAAATAGCCATATCATTTCGCATTCACACTAGTAATGAAATAGAGTTCCTGTTGCTCTGCATCCTTGTCAGCATTTGGTGTTGTCAGTGTTCCGAATTGTGGCCATTCTAACAGTTTTGTAATGGTATCTCTTTGTTTTAATTTGCATTTCTCTGATTACACATGATGTGAACTCTCTTTTTATATGCTTATTTGCCTGCTGTCTGTATATCTTCTTGACTCCTTCTGTGGCTAGGAGTCAGTTTAGGTGTTTGACCATTTTCTATTAAGGTTATATGTTTTCCTATTGTTGAGGTAGATATATTTTTTCAGTTATAACATTTCATTAGGTTTATTTTTATGTTTTGTATTTCTGTGCTAAAGTTTTCTTTCATCCATCACAGGCATATTTTCTTCTACCTCAATGAGCACATTTATAATAGTTGCTGAGCTGTTTTTGCCTGATGATTTCAACATTTGGATCATCTTGGAATTGGCTTTTACTTATTTTCTTTTTGCTTGAGATTGTCACATTTTCCTAGCTTTGTGGGTATAGAGTAATTATACATGGTGTCCTGGATGTTTAGCATGTTATGTTTTACAGTCTCTGGATTCTGTTGTATTTCTTCAAAGAATGCTACTGTTTTGTTTTGAAAAGCAATTAACTTCATTGGACTTAAACTTCCCACTTGTGGTCAGAGACAGCTTTGATCACTGGCTTTCTCATTTCTTAGGTCCCCCTTACTTTCTGATGGCTCTGGTTGCCACATGTCCCTTTCTCTAGCTCCTCCAGCCAAAAAAGGGTCAGTTTTATATCAGAGTTTTAGCCACTCCCCTCCATGGGTAGAATTATGGCTGCCCTCAGGGCAAAGCTACAAAAAACAAGGCACTCCATGCCAGTGTCTTCCTCCAAATTTTAACTCACTTATCCAATACCTCTGCTTTGTTTACTTTCCAGAGTCTGGATTATTTCTGCTTGTTTGTTTTTCTCTTTTGTTCCTCACCCTCGCCCACCTCAAATGTAGGGTTATTATATGCAGGAATGCAGGAAGTTTGATATTAGGAGCTCACTCCTCCTTAATAGTAGCAGACTCTTAGACTATTTAATTTTTGATGACTCACGTGTATCTCACTCAAAGAAATTAAGAAAGGTCTTAAAGAGTTGAGATGCTCTATTGTCTGACATGTCATTTGATTATATTTCTATAAGTGGCTTTTGACTATTTCTAGTTAGTGAGTACAACTAATATCTTAATCTTGAAAGATTATTCCATAAAACAAAAGTACAAGTAGAGAAAAAAATGGAGCAGTTAATGAGTGGTTTTTGCTTAGCAAAAGGTAGTTTGAATGAACTCTCACAGTTGATGGAATCAGTGATGATAAAGCCAAGTCACTCTGATATCTACACAGCATTCCACATTTTTATATATAGTTCCATTTTAATTTTTTCTCATATGAATAACTGTTTTAATCTTAAGACACTTGAATTGTTGATTAAAGCTGAGGAGGCATTACTGTGCAGTGGATAAGAGTAGATTGTACATGAACCCGGGAGGCGGAGCTTGCAGTGAGCGGAGATCTGGCCACTGCACTCCAGCCTGGGTGACAGAGCGAGACTCCATCTCAAAAAAAAAAAAAAGAAAAAAAGAATAGATTGTTTATATTCAAATCACAATCCCACTACTTCCTAGTTGTAAAACCCTGGGTAAGTTACTTAATTTCCTATATATCAATTTTCTCATCTTTAAAATGGGAAAAATAATGATATATACTTCATTAAGATGCTTATAAAGAAATTAATGTGTTCAGGTTTTAGAGAGTATCTGACACATTAAAAAATGCCATTTTTTTTCTTTTTTTTATTACACTTTAAATTCTGGGATACATGTGCAGAACGTGCAGGTTTGTTACATAGGTATACATGTGCCATGGTGGTTTGCTGCACCTGTCAACCCATCATCTGGGTTTTAAGCCCTACATGCATTAGATATTTGTTCTAATGCTCCCTCTCCCCTTGCCCCCCACTCCTGACAGGTCCCAGTGTGTGATGTTCCCCTTCTTCTGCCCACATGTTCTCAATGTTCAACTCCCACCTATGAGTGAGAACATGTGGTGTTTGGTTTTCTGTTCCTGTGTTAGTTTGCTGAGAATGATGGTTTCCAGCTTCATCCATGTCCCTGGAAAGGACATGAACTCATTCTTTTTTATGGCTGCATAGTATTCCACGGTGTATATGTGTCACATTTTCTTTAACCAGTCTATCACTGATGGGCAAAAAAGTGCCATTATTTGTTATTGTTATTTTTATCCTTAGAAATATCAGGATGATAGATATGTCTTTAAAATTTGAAATAGATAAGGGGATTTATGGAGAAGTATACAACATAGAGAGAATGGTAATTATTCCTCATTTAGATCTTGATGGGAGCAAATTTATCATTATTTATGTTTCACCTCAGCAGTTATTTTTCTCTGGTAATATTTTACATACATTCTTTTTTATCATGTTGGTCCCTCTGGGTAGAATTGTCTGGAAAACTCCTTTGAGGTATATTCTTTTAAAAATTGTCCAGTTATCCCTTACCACATATTTCAAATGATCCCTGAAAGGCAGTATAATGTAGGGAAATTCACCTTCTTTGGAATCAGATAGATTTTGAGTATCACCTCTGTCACTCACAAGATGTGGACAGTTGAGACTTATCCTCATCTAAAAATGGGGGAAAGATTGTTCATATAAAAGGAATATTGAAGATTAAATAAGATGGCATTTGTTTAGTGTTTACTCAGGGTCTAGAATGTTTTAGGTACCCACTCACAGTAAATTCCCTTCTCTTTTCCCATGTCATTCTGCTATGAAGTCTTCCTGAACACTTCTAGGAAGATCACATCTGTCCTTTCTCTAGTCTTTCAATTAAAATCTTCATCATATTTCATTAACATGTCTTTCTTTATCACTGTGTTGGCTCCTCCTTCAGGGCAGAAACCTACATGTCTTTTATAGGGTTCACTGTAGATTGTCTCAATGTTTGTAGGTTTAGTGAATGAATAAAAGTATGATTAACTTGAATTTTATTTGAACATATAATTTTCACGTACTAATTAATACAATCTGAGAGTAGATCAATGAGCATTTAAATCAAATGAAATACTGTAGAGCAAAACAAATATAAAGACTTTTCTTTTGTCTTACTCTGACATTTTTTAAAGGTAATGAAAACATCCCCATGACCAGAAATCCTCAGGAATAATTCCTCTTGACTGCAGTAAGTACCTACTTTTGAGAAACAGAAAGCTGATGAGCTGCAGGCTTCCCTGCTGCTAAATTCATCTAACAAGGCACTCCTGATGTGTTCTGATTTTAAGGCCAATGGGAACTCTATAGATTGGTTTGCTGCTCTCTTTCCTGATAAAGAGAAGACTTTGAGATGTGCATGTTTATGTTGGTAAATAAATTCTGGCATGAAATGAGAATTCAGGAATCAAGCCTAAGGCATCAAAAACAGTAATAAAGTGAATTTGTAGCCATATTGTCTTTGGTGCTTCCAGGACAAAGTCTGCATATTTAAGGTAAGTCTGAAAAATCAGTAGTCATCTCCACCTCTGGGTGTTATAGCCAGGACCTGAAATGATGTGTCTGTGTGTCTAACAAGATAGTTGAGAGATACTGGGTCCTTTAAATGGATTAATCTCTTTGAATAAGTTATATGATTGGGAACTAAAACAATGATATCAGAAGTGCCCAAAACAGATTGGTACAAAGCTTGCCAAATACCAATTACAACTAAAATGACTTTTTATTTGGGTGTAGAAGGAGCTAAGTAAAAAAGGGTTAAGTTTCTTCTTAGGAAGCTGAGGAGAAACAACAAGACTATTCAATTCCAATTGCTACATTCTACATCAAGAAAAGTGGTATGCAAATGACAAAGAGAGAAGTAACACAAAGGAAGAAAATCAAACTTACCACTGGGACAAACATGCAAGAGCACATCCAACTGTAACATGTGAATTAATTATTCAAATTAGAGAGACACATTTCATGCTAGGATACTGAAAACATGATAGGATGACAGAAACATTATCTATTAGGAATTATGAGAAGTCAGAAAGGTAAAGGACCCAATTAAGAGAGATACAAGAGGGAGAGAGAAATGAAAAGGGAGAGGGAAGGAAGGAGGAGAGGGGAAAAGGGAGGAAGGAAGGAAGAAAACGATCTAGTTTTTAGAAGATAGAAGGGTGTTAGGACGAGAATGTTAACTGTAGAAACCACAGCTTGCAAACTTTGATGATGGTATTTGGCAGAATTCTGTTCTTCATTGTTAAATTGAATGGTACTAATCTCTTAGCAAAAAGAAAGCCTTAATTAGGAACCATAAGGAGTATATAAAAACATTTTATTGGCTGGGCGTGGTGGCTCACACCTGTAATCCTAGCACTTTGGGAGGCCGAGACGGGCAGATCACCTGAGGTCAGGAGTTCGAGACCAACCTGGCCAACATGACGAAACCCATCTCTACTGAAAATACAAAAAGTAGCCAGGCGTGGTGGTGGGCACCTGTAATCTCAGCTACTTGGGAGGCTGAGGCAGGAGCATCATTTGAACCCGGGAGCCACAGATTGCAGTGAGCCGAGATCATGCCACTGCACTCCAGCCTGGGCAACAGAGCGAGACTCTGTCTCAAAAAATAAATAAATAAATAAATAATAAAATTTAAAAAAAATAAAACATTTTATTGGTAGACTAAAATAATTTTATTGGCATGAGCTGTCTTTTTTTCAGCAAGGTGTTTGAAAAGTTTTCTCCATAATGTGCTAATGAACACGTCTTATTGAACATATGTTGAATGATCGTGTTCAAGATGAGGGCAATGAATTTTCAGCCAGCATCACAACACATTATAATGACATTTAGGAATAGCATACTTGTTAAGAGCAAAGGATCTGGAATCAGTCAGATCTGGGTTTGAATTTAATATCTAATGCTTAATACTTGTCAGTCCTTTGGAAATGTACTTAGTTACTAAGTCTGAAAAATTGAGATAATAACAGTACCAAATTCCTAGAGTTGTTCAGAAGATTAAATATGAGAATACACATAAATTGGTCAGCACAGTGGCTACAGCATACATGGAGATATGCAAAGAGTACTTACTATAAAGGCATTCAGAAAGGCATCTCATCCTTTTGTGGAGTAGGAGTCAGAATTGGTCAGGGAAGGAGAGGTGTAGGGACAGTCACTAGGAGCAAATATATACATGCAAGAGGGTAATAGAGCTGATGCATTTCCTCATCTGCAAATAACAGTTACAGCTTTAGCTTGGAGAAAGGGAACACTTAAGGAGACGAAAGTGGTGAAGGGTGAGACAGGGTAGGGAGACAGGGGTCAAATTAAAATGGAGTTTACATGTCGTATTCAGGGTTTAGAAGTTATACTAAGCATGTGTATGAGAGGAGGTTTCAGGATAATTTGAAATAGTAGAGCTTGAAAATATTTTAGTAACTATAACATTGAACTTTAAGGGGCTATCAGATTAAAATGGAATAGCTATGCCGATTCTTCACTGAAAGAGCACAAAGTCAAAGAAGCACCTCATCAATATGTTCAGTAGATCAGGAGGTAGCTCTTTCTCAATAACTTTCAAATAATCCTACTTTTGTTATGATCTTCAAGTTTCTTTCTGTTTACGAATTTTTTCCCCCCACAAATGCGATTGACGGCATTTGGTAAAGTCCCCACAAGAGGGTTTGCACGTGATACGGTTCTGAACCGTATGCAGCACACACTTATATGTTAGACTGAAAAGAGAATTAGGCATTAGTGACTTTTAAGAAAGATCACTAATGCAAGACAAAAACCAATCTTCTCGAGGGTTTTTTTTTTTTTTTTTTTTTTTTTTTTTTTTTTTTTACTTCAAAGGGAGGCTTTGAATCCTAGCATCTTCTTTGAAACTCTTTAAGATGGCATCAAAATTTTAAGCAGTTGGTTTCCATTTTGCAAGTGACTCTGAGCTCTTTAAACTTTGGGAATGAAAACAAAAAAAGTGAGTGATGTTAATCTTCTCATTTTCGGGATTTTTGTGTATTATGATTTCTTTTTTTCAAAATACCTGAATGAATACATTATTAGAAGAAATTGCTTATGACCTTGATTCTGGTATGAATGAACTATGGCTGAAATAGTAAAACAAGAAAATGGGAGTGAACTAAAATGTTCTTTCCCCACTCTGAATTAGCTTTTCAATAATGAAATTCATGTTCAAAGAATATAGTGGTTCCTTCATCTATTCATTCAACTGCAATAAAAGATTACAAGTATTTACATCTATTTATCATAGCAGTGCTTTTTATTTTCTTTACTACTGTTTATAATTTGGTCTTTAGTCCTATATTTGAGGGTTTTTAAATCTAACATTTTGAAATTAAATACTAAGTTCTGAAGCTACAAAATTTGGGTTTGATTCTTTACTCTTTCAAGTTTTGACTTGCAAAAATGATACCATTTTTTTTAGCTCTAAGTTTCTCCACTATAAAATAGGTCATGAATGGAATCAGAGGCTTGAATTCTGAGACCCCTGGTTCAAATTTATATAAGGTAATTTTATTTTGAGGGTTAAGTTGTCTAATACCAGTAGTACATTCGATAACACATAGTAAGTGCTGAATAAGAAGGTACAATATTAATAGTAACACCTGCTCTTCTTAATTCTAGGCTAATGGTGCAGATTTCTGAGTTTTATGAAATATGTCATCATGTGATGGTATGTATCAGAAAAATACTCAGAGGTAGAAAGTGCTAAACAAATATTTGATGAGTAAATGAATTAAAATTGAACATATTAAAACTTAGTATCCTCCTTTGCTCAGAGTATATTATAGGGGTAATAATAATTGACAAGGTATAAAAATCTTAGCTCAAGATGTAATGTTCTATGATTTGAGGCAAAAAAAAATTATACCTTGTAAGACTCAGCCTCCTTTTCTGCAAAATGAATATAACACATGTGATTACTGTTATTTAGGATACTATAACATTAAATTATTATTCACCATTTTTTTGGGAAAAATGCTGTCAGCAGTTAGATATGTTTGAACTGATAACACGTGATTACTATTATTTAGGATACTATAACATTAAATTATTATTCACCAGCTTTTTGGGAAAAATGCTGTCAGCAGTTAAGTATGTTTGAACTGTTGTTTTAAAAGAATAACCGGCCAGGCGCGGTGGCTCACTCCTGTAATCCCAGCACTTCGGGAGGCCAAGGCAAGTGGATCACGAGGTCAGGAGATCGAGACCATCCTGGCTAGCATGGTGAAACCCTGTCTCTACTAAAAAATACAACAAAAATTAGCCGGGCGTGGTGGTGGGCACCTATAGTCCCAGCTACTGGGGAGGCTGAGGCAGGAGAATGGCGTGAACCCGGGAGGCAGAGCTTGTAGTGAGCCAAGATCGCGCCACTGCACTCCAGCCTGGGCGACAGAGTGAGACTCCATCTCAAAAAAAAAAAAAAAAAAGAAAAGAAAAGAATAACCACATTATTAGAGGTAGATATCATTTAGGATAATTTTCAAGTTTCAACTTTTATAAAGGTTTAGAATTGGTCTCATCGGTTATTTAATTTTGTAATTAAAGCATGTTTGAGGAAAATACACTTTGTTGTTATCCATTGTGAAGTATTAGAAGTTGTATGCAAATAACTTGCATTTTGAGAATTCTAGAGTAAATTAGAATTGTACACACATCTCACCTTCATACTGAAACTAGAGGTGGTTCTGTGTATAATATTTATTACAACACTGAGGCTTTAACTCCACAACTGGTAGGATTAAGCACAAGATAACACACATGACCGTCTAAAGTATATATTCACAATACAACCACAGACTGCAGGGTGGACTTATGGATGACTTGTCTGAGGGCTGACAAGTCCTGGATTACATGGGAGCTTCTCATCCTTGGCACATCTGCCTTTGAACTGACAGCAGCCACCTGTGGTCTGGCTCGCTGATCTCCCGTGGCCTGTGCTGTTTCACATCCAAACTGGATTAGGCTACTCTCTCTGAGGTTTGAGTCTCTATCCATAGACTTATAGTCTAATTGCCATACCCAGTCCCCACCATGTGATCTAGCACTGAACACAGAAACTTTTTTTTTTTTTGAGACGGAGTCTTGCTCTGCTGCCCAGACTGGATGGAGTGCAGTGGAGTGATCTCGGCTCACTGCACACTCCGCCTACCGGGTTTACGCCATTCTCCCTCCCCAGCCTCCCAAGTAGCTGGGACTATAGGCACCTGCCACCACGCCTGGCTAATTTTTTGTATTTTTAGTAGAGATGGGGTTTCACCATGTTAGCCAGAATGGTCTCGATCTCCTCACCTCGTGATCCGCCCGCCTCGGCCTCCCGAAGTGCTGGGATTATAGGCGAGAGCCACCGCCTCTGGCCCAGAAACACTTCTTATAGTTCATTGAGGATGTTAAGTTGTTCCTGACTGTGCACATGCTCAAAATAAAGGACAACAAATGCTTTATTTCTCTCCATGTTGTCTCTTGTTCTCCCTGAAATTGGGTGGAAATCTATGAATAATACACCTAATGAATATTTACGGAGTGCCTAGTTTGTGCCAGACCTTTGCCAGGTATATTTCATGGATTGCTTTGAAATGATTATATTATTCCTTTTAAGTGTGCAATATTCTTTTAAGGGCTAAAGGGATATTTGAACAGTTTTCATCAGTTGGAGTTGTGTGTTTGCGAATTGGCAGACAGCGTTATTGTTTCACACTCTTGATGTGTATGCTGAACAGGTCAGCAATCCAGCTGTTTGTTGAGTCTTCGCTGGGGTTCCCTAGAAAACAGATCCTGAGGAGGAAAAGCTCACTTGTTAACCATTTAAGGGAGGGGCAGGGCTGGTATGAAATCTCAGAACAGTATGAAGAGGCAGAAAAGGGGAGTAGGATAGAAAAGGAGGAAAGCAAATATAACATTCTGTATTACCAAGATGGCAACAGCTTCCCAGTTAGCTGGTTGATCGATCCTAGGGCCCTTTCAGGACAGGCTGTAGAGAACCACTGTGCCTTTGAGCAGAGTCAGTGGGCCATGCGCAAAATGAAAATAAATTATCTCCCAGATCCTTCTGTTCTGTTCTCACTGGTCCATGTTCAACCATATAACCCAGCTGGTTAGCACTCTGAGCTATTGTAGCTCAAGTCCCACTTTTGAGACACTCTGAAGAGCTGTGAATGTTTAAGACGCCCTCCCTTCTAGTGGTGTTATCCAGTGCCTCCTAGTAGACAATAAGGAGGCCTGGCCGACATTGGGTATTGCACTTCATCTAAGACTGGGTGTCAGGCCAGTAGAGGGTTTGCATCTTCCCACTGGCTATGCAGAGCATCAGGGAAAGCCATGCCTGAGCCCAGTCCACATGCAGGTTAAGTGGAACCAGCTGGTTGGGGCTCTCCACAGAGCAAGCCATCAAGTGCCTAGGAGACAAATGGAGCCAAGCAAATCTAGGGAGGTATACAAATTGGGTTGGGTATGATTAGACTTTTTAATGGACCCGGTATAGAAGTAGGATGCAAATCAGAAATGGACATTTATTGAGGATCTACTGTATGACAGGCTCTATGTGAAGTTTTTTTTTCCCACGTAACAACATATGTTATGCTGATAAGCATGCAAATTTTTATATATTAGTATGATGTAAATAAATATGTAGCTATAAAGATTTTTTAAGGCCAAATTGACGTGGAAGATGCTTTTCTTATCTCATATTTCCATAATCCTATTTAATTCAGTCAACTCTTTCCAATCCATCTAGAGTTAATTATCTCTCTCATTAATTGTTTGGGAATTACAAGTTGTGTGAGACGTGGACTCTCCCCAGTGCTCCCATCAAGCTCTGGCAACCTACAGCTTGTGCTGCTTACACATATTGTTATATTTGCTGACTTCCACCTGTAACAAACTCATCTGGACTCTTAAAAGTTACCTGTATCTGACCTTTATCCTCACTTTCACCTTTTCTGCCTAACCTTCTCCCTTTTTGTGCACTGGGACTTCCTTGTGTCGAAGACTGATCTCTTTAACCGTGTCCTGGTTCTGCCATCCTTGCTCCACCTCTCCTTAACCAGAGACCTGCAGCCAGCCCTTCTCTTCTCTCCCTGCTGCACCTCGACCTCTCTCTGTCTGCTAGATATTTCCATGATAGGCTGTGGCCGACACTCTTAACTGTCTAACTCAACTTCTCCCTTCTTTTTGTTTTTTGAGACGGCGTCTTGCTCTGTCGTCCAGGCTGCAGTGCAGTGACGCGATCTCAGCTCACTGCAAGCTCCGCCTCCCGAACTACTCCCTTCTTTACAATCACTCTCTTGCTTCTTGCAAGCATAGCAGAGCCCGCATTTTATCACGTGCTTATCTTTTGCTGTCTCGTTTTCCAAGAAGGTGCCCATCTGTAGTTTCAGGGAGTACAGTCTTCAATTGTGTTGTAGTCTCACCCACCACCTTACTGATGATTGGTCTAGGGCTGAGCACATACTATTTTGGCCAATAAGGATGAGGGGAAGTTTCCTGAGTGATACTGGGAAAAGTTTTCTCATTTCAAAAAGAAATAGGCAGGAAAACATCTTCCCCTGATTCTGCTCCTCCGCCTTTTTCTTTGCTTCTGAATGCTGTTGTTTGAGGACTAAATGCCTGAAGTTGCTGCAACCATTAAGGAGTATGAAGGGGCAAGCCTGAGGGCAAAATCCAAAATGATGAGGATATAACAGAAAGATGAAAAGACCTAAATTCTGATGATGTCATTTAACTACTGCCCTACGCATTGATAGGTGGGATAACAAACAGCCTTACTTTTTAGTTGTCAGCTTGTTTCATCTTCTTTTTACTCTTATACCAAATAACATTTGTCATCTGCCCCACGTGTCTTCTGAAGCTGTTCTCAGTAAAGTCACAATAATCTTTCAATTGACAAAACAACTGACAGTTTTCAATCTTTATCTTGCTTGACCCCTGCATTTTATCGTTGACCTCAGCCTACATGAAATGCCATCCTTCCCTGGATTCAAGTAAGTAGCTTCCTCCTGCTTTACTTCCTGACTTTCTGGTCACTTCTCAGGGATTTCAAACATTGTTTTGGAATATTTGAAACAAACTAAAAGTGTAAGAAATAATGTAACAGACATCTGTGTTTCCACCAGCTAGCTTTAACAAACATTAACATCTAATCGCATTTATTTGTTTTGGATCTTTTTGGATTCGATCTTCTTTTCTGTCACCCACCCTCAAAGTCACCTTCTCTAGAGTTGTTCTTCTGCTTTTATTATTGTTATTATTACGATTTTATTTACTTGTGCCTTCCTTGGCAACTGTATCTACACTTATGGCTTTACAATAGATTTTTCCATCTGGGACTGCCTTCCCAAGTTTAAAACCTACGGATCTTAGGCATTTTCACAAAAATATTTTATAGGTACC
This sequence comes from Homo sapiens, assembly GCF_000001405.40. Taxonomy (NCBI): domain Eukaryota; kingdom Metazoa; phylum Chordata; class Mammalia; order Primates; family Hominidae; genus Homo; species Homo sapiens. The sequence goes on from NC_000006.12 coordinate 97,758,487, forward strand.
TTAAATACATATAATACACATCTCCGTCTGGTTTTACGGCACACAGAAGTTCATCAACACAGAAGGATCTATTTCTCAGAAGGAGAGTGGCCCCTCAGGGACTGTGTTCTTTATTCAAAATTCTGGAGACTTCACAATGGTTCTCATTTTAAGGATACACACATATGCTCTCTCCAGAATGGCTGTCTGCCTCAGATACTTAAAGCAGAGAAGTCATGAGTGCCTTACACTGGAGCTTGGATCAATTAGAGTTTTTTATCTTGCTTTGAGTAAGCCTGTACTCAAGATGAGTAGCTTTATGGTCACATACACACACACACACACACAAATCCCTTCCTGGCTGTGAAAAACTCAGAACTGGAAGATTTTAATTTATCAGAATCATCTTTTGTCAGTCAGCTTTTAATTAAGTGAATCCTCAAGCTTCCAATGGAGACTAATCACAGCACTGTGTTGCTCAATGCACATTATACACCCATTCACGCATTCAATCAATGTTTATTGAACGTTTACCACATGCTATTAGGCACTGTTATGGGTGATAGGAATTTGGTGGTGATCTCCATGAAGTTGGGATTCTGTTGAGCAAGATAGCCATTAATAAATTCATCATCCAAATAAACTTAAAAATATACCGATGATAAGGCTGTGAGTTATAGATCCTATGGACATGTAAAATAGGTGATCTGACATAATTTGGGGATGGCTATGGCAGAATTGAGTGTGGACCAAAAACTTGCTGATTATTTGGAGCTAACAAGAAAAGTGTGTGTGGTAGAGGTGGTGGGGGTGGGGAGAATGTTCCAAGAGGAAACAAGATATGTAAAGACCCTATGATAAGAGAGTGCCAAACAGGTCTGTATTCTTTCTTTCACTTTGAATTCTCAAAGGGCATACCTAAGAAATTTAAGTTTTACAAATACTGTGAGGAAAGTGTTGAATACATCTTAACCTCTTTCCTCTTTTCATAGATTCACAAGGCATTTTAGCCTACTAAAGATTGAAAAATCATGGCATATATAACTGGTTTAACTTGGTTTAATTAAACATGCCCACATGTCCCAAACTTATTTTACCATGAAATTCTTTTTTTCTGCATTAATGGTTATTCAGCTGGAGCAAAATTAGTAATCTCATCAAACAAAACAAAACATACAACTGTCTGGGCTACATTATTCCAGGGATTAGTGATTCCCTGGCTCTTTGATGTGGGACATCTCAGGCCAAAACTGTGGCTGACCAGGTTTAGATAAGAGATAAAGCAGTTAGATCTGCAGGTGTCTGTCCTAGTCTGTAAAACGTGGGGTCTTTGGTGAAAACCTCATTAACCAGTCATTTCAGCACAAATTACTCCCAGATCTCCCAATCCTGGGGCACACAGACAAGTCTATTCTCTTCTGCTTCAGTCAGAAATCTCTAGTCTACACCAAGGGTCACGACTTTCTTCTGAAAGGATCAGATAGTAAATGTTTTATGCTTCAGGGCCATGTGGACACTTGCAACTACTAAACTCTGCTACTGTAGTAGAAAAGCAGCCATGGACAATAGGTAAATGTATGAGTGTAGCTGCATTTTAATAAAAATATATTTGCAAAAACAGGCAGTCCACCAGCAGGCCATAGTTTGCCAACTCTACGTCTATCCTATTTCTGAAAGTCATTCTGGGTGAAGTTACTTTCTAATGCCATTTTGCATCTAAACCACAGGTTCATGTGCAATCACACCTTCCTTATGGATTACATATTGCAATGTGACAAACAGTGGTGGTGAATACTGTGTGATGGTTTCCACAGGGGTTCTTCCTGAAGGGTGGTGAACAGTTTGTGAAGGTTTCCACAGGGGTTCATGGGGCAACCTGCTTCTACCCAAGTTTTCTCACATACCTCGTAGATTTTTTTTTTCATGTTTCTAGAAGAAATTCAACTTTGTGGAGCTATCATGTGGTTTTACAAACAAGGGGTTCTAAAGTTAACTGACATTATGGCTTCAAGAACAGGTCTTAGCATACTGACTATGTGACTACAAGCCACAGTCATACGATAGCCCTGTGTTTTCTACCATCGTCTAGCTGTGAAATCTAGAACCAGAATTGGCCTTTGTCTCAACAAAGGTCACTCGAAGTTAAAAAAAATTACACCAAAATACATACACACATATAAAATAACTTCACTACCTGTACATCCTTAAACCCTAGGAACAACTTTTATGCATCAATCACCAGGCATCTTACTTGCAATGTGCACAGGAAAGCTTTTAATTACCTGCTTTTTCACAGCTAATAATGGGCTCATAGGTTGATATGACTCCAGGATTGTATTATTTTCAATGACCCTAAGTGCTATGGCATAACCTTATCTAGATTCTGACCTGAGGGCAGTGAACTTGCTGGGTAAGGTCAGCCATAGGAAATTAGCTCACAAAAGAGATGCCACCCTCTGCCCAACTTCTGTTACATGGCATTTATTGACACTTGTATCACAGTCTTAGCTGTCAGACCAATCACTTTTAGATAAGTACTCACAGGAGTGATTGCTCTCACTGCTTCCCACCTTAAAACTGCCTTTAAGCCACCAGCAGTTCACATTCCACCTGAGGGTCCATTGTTGCAGCCCTGTTCCTGGAACTAGTTTGTATGTGTGTGTTTGTCTTTCAGATTGTTAGAAAAATAGAACCCGATGATCTCATATAATTGGGGGATATTGTAAGAATGAGGCCTCAGCTCTTCCTTCTTGCTCAGCCATTCTGATGCCTCTCTCACCTCTCTGTTGGCCTCTTGATCTCTTTCTCTGTATTTCATCTTCAAACTCCCTATGCAAGAAGGACATGATCATCCAGGCTAATTACCATCTGATATCCAGCACAAATTTTCATTAGCATTTGGGCTAGACATAGATTATCTGTCCAACAGAAATAGTATTCTTGAAAGCACATGACTTTGCTAGTCATAAAGACTAGTCTGAAGCTGGGCAGAGCTGCTAGCTGATTCCTGAAGGCCTTGAGATCTGACCAGTTAGAGTATAGGCATAGAGTATATGAAGTCACAGAAGAAATATTGAGGAAAAAAAAAAGAAAAATATAATTCCCAGGAAGAAATTATAAATGGTCCCAGTAGCAGCCACCAGCATCATACTAGTTGCTAAATCCAATTAGTGTTATTCAGTCTTTATTTACTTCATCTCTGCAAAATTCAACATTGTTAAAAACTGTGTCCTCCCCTTGATTTTCTTCTCCTTTCTACATCTTCTCACCTTTGTTTTTTAGGATTCCTCTTCTTCTTATCTTCTAAATGTTTGTGCCTCTAAGGCTTATATTTGCCCTCTGTTGATCTTACATTGTCCCTGAAAATCTCATCCAGTTATTGATTATACCATGATTTGCTAGATATATGGCTCCACTCAGAATCTCTCTTGAATTCTAATTTTATAAAGTTAGCTTTTGGCTGGGCATCGCAACTTGCCTAAATGAAGGAACTAAAACTCATTATAAGACACTGTAACAAAAACTGAACTTATTATTGTTTTTTCTTTTTTTAAAAAATAAATTAGTGGTTCTCAGTAGGGGATGATTGAGGTCCCATGGGACGTTAGGCAAAGTCTAGAGACATAGCCTTGACAATGGGTGGGGGTATGTGCTACTGGCATCTAATGCATAGAGGTCAGAGATGGTGGGAAACATCCTACAATGCACAGGACAGTCTCCTCAAATAATTTTTTAAAAAATAGCCCAAAGTGTCAATAATGCCAAGGTTGGGAAACCATGCTGTAAATGTATTTCGCATATTCCCATTGTGTGTGGGAATAGCATGATTATCTGCCGTGTCACATAAGCCTAGAAATCTACAAGTCATAAAGCAATAGTTTGGAGGCAGGCCTTGGAGGCAAGTATCCTGTATCGGAATCCCACCACGGCCACTTACCAGCTGTGTGACCTTTGGCAAGCTACCTAATCTGTAGAATTTCCTCATCTTTATAGGAATATAATAATAATTCCTCTCCCATAGAACTGTTGTGAAGTTTAAATGAGTTATTACAGTCCAGGTGTTTTTTTTGTTTGTTTTTTGTTTTTTGTTTTTTTTTTTGAGACGGAGTCTCGCTCTGTCGCCCAGGCTGGAGTGCACTGGCGCGATCTCGGCTCACTGCAAGCTCCGCCTCCCGGGTTCACGCCATTCTCCTGCCTCAGCCTCCTGAATAGCTGGGACTAGAGGTGCCCGCCACCGCGCCCGCCACCACGTCCGGATAATTTTTTGTATTTTTAGTAGAGACGGGGTTTTACTGTGGTCTCGATCTCCTGACCTCGTGATCCGCCCGTCTTGGCCTCCCAAAGTGCTGGGATTACAGGCGTGAGCCACCGCACCCAGGCCAGGTGTTTTGAATAGTGTTTGGCTCCTAGTAAATGCTCAATAAATATCATTTATTATTTATGTTATTGTTATTCTGACTCTGCCTGACCAACTTCTCCTTCTCTGCTTATTAAATCATTCTTGCTGTTAATGCCTTATTGCACATAACCTTTTTTTTCCTTAAAAAATGCAACAACTTCCTAATTGATCAGTCTTGCCCTGCTTAAATTCATCTTCTATATACTCACTACAGGGTGCTATTTTTAAAGCATAGTATTGATCATGTTACCTTCCAATTTAAAACCCTTCAAAGGTTTGCATTGTTTATAGGAAAAAGTCTCAATTATTTGACATGGCATAAAAAGCCAGAGAGAATAATTTATCTGCAGACATTATTATTTTCATCACTTTCCCATACTCCTCCTATAGCTTGCACTCAAACTTTGCTAAACTACTTCTTATGACCTGAATTCATCATGTTTAAATTTTATTCACAGAAAAACAGAACAAATGATAAGGATGAAATGAGTATCGTTCAATTATTTATCAAGAGTTAAATATAAAGCCAACTGTTGTGATAAGTCCTGAGATAATAAAGGTAGACAAGAAATGATCTCTGCCTTCAAATAATTTAAAGTCTTAACTTTTTCTATTTATTATTATTTAACTACTACTAGTTTTAAGCATAATTCTCTAATTTCTATTCCCAGACTTGTTTTGTAGAAGTTTGTATTTGTTTCTTAGAGGTTTGCTCTTATAATATTAATAACATGGATGATGTAAATTAATCCTTTAAGATTGAAACACTCCAGAGAAATGGCTACAGCCCTTTAGGAAGGTTCTCTGAGATTCATGGTTTCATGGTCAGTTATTAACCTTCATAATCTATCTATTGATAGAAAAAGTTTTGGGTACACATTGTGGACCACATTTTGTCACCTGACATAAGAATTACTGTAGTTGCCTAGAACTATGCATTTAGATTTTTTCCTTGTTCATCATATCACTTGATGTACAAGTGATTTTTGTCACTTTTACATTTGTTATATTTTTGTGACTAATGAGAGTCATCTGTCACTATTTTTCTCCCTCAAATTACTCCCAGACATGGACACAATATTTGATGTAGGCACCTGATCAAGATCCACCAGACTATCAGTGAACTTGAAAGGTTCCCAGGGACCTGATGTTGATGCTATTTCATTACAATGAGAGCAAATGATCAATTTAACATTTCTGAGATTAATGACTATTTTTGTGGTGTTAAAAGGCCACCCGTGAGAGTTTGCATTTTAATTCTGTAGCCCTTAATATATTTAGCAATAAAGCTGTAGATTCAAATAAAATATACAGTATTTTGAAAATACATTACACTCTAAAATTTAATCTACTTTAAAATTGTTATAGACTCTTTGAAATGTCTGTCTGATGATGCCACATAAATTGTCAAAAGCAAGAAAATAGTGATGTGGAAAGTGACAGTCTATTCTTAAACCAACTCCATGTATCACAAGAACTACATAAAATCAGGGAGCCTTAGTCATTATCCATTGTGCTTCAAAATTTGAGTGATTTAGGAGCAGATTAATTTAACTTAAAACTAATCCCCCCATACTCTCTATTTTAACCCCATGAATATAATTCACATGTCTCTAAGTTAGTACTTAGTATTAATAGAACAACCAAAATAATGGAGTGTCTTGTATTCGTATGCCGTCTTTATTTTCCTTATATAACCTGCACTATAAGTGAATTTGACATCATTATTAAATGAGATCTGATACATAATTAAATGTATGCCAATAACGGTAGCCTTATTAATATCTTTGGCATCATTAATTTAGCTTCTCTCCCTTTCTTTCATTAATTTGAAACAACCTCTTTTAGTACCTGGGAACACTTTAAGAACTGTCAAACTTTTCTTCTGCCAGCCTTCAAAGGTCAAAACTAGCTGTGACACCTAAAATTCAAATGTAATTAGTTTGAGATTTACAGGGATTGTATGCCAATCTTCTAGTAGCTTAGAAGTGACGTGGTATCTAACCTTTGGTGGCCTCAAGAGACATTCAGATAGATGTGAAGATAAATAGAAAAATATTACCCACCACATGCACTGTTGGTGTGCCTATTAGATTTCTTTTTTCCTGGTTTGGGTTTTGGAGTTTGTGTTTTTACACTTTCTCTTGATTTTAAGAACAAATCTCTCACAGCATCCTAGCACTGAGTTGGTATTCTTATTTAAAGCTTGGCTCACGTGATATATACTTGGATCATTAAACTGAAGGACTTGTACAGTCACGATTTTTAATGAAGCATGTTTGAATAATTATGCTAATTTACAAAGCACTAGAATCAAATCAAGTGATCAAAGTTTTCATGATTGCTATCATGTGTTCCTAACCCCCCTCTGCCACCCTCACAATTTGCTGCATGTAGAAGTCTTTCCTAGGAATGTGTTTGGAAATGGCTATTAATCAATGCTGAGCCATTAGAAAAAAAATTTTGTAAGCAGCCTAATGCACTTTATGTTATGCTTCTATAGTGGACTATATGTGACTGTAGAGGTAATATTATTCTGCCACACTCTCGCCTAAATACCACCTACAATCGATACTGCATTCTGCCTTGACAGAAAGCTGAATTTTTATCTGTTAAATGCGTGAGCTTGGGGCAGTGATGTGTCTGAAGTGGTTTAAATCTGAAATGTGATGTGCTGCAAAGAGAGTTGATTGACATCTTTGTTTATTGAAAAGTATTACATGAACAACAAAACATAGGCAGAGGCAGAACACTCCATTGCAAAATGCAGCTGTGTTATTTTTCAATCCTATGTGCTCTGCCCCTTTGAAGCTTGTCTGATGTAATAAAGCCAGAGGATATAAAACAAACAAGAATCTTCTTGATTCAACACTCAAAAATTTAGACAAGGATGCCAAAGATGCTTTTTTTTTTTTGTTGTTGTTTTTTTTTTTTTTTTTTGGCTTGGGGTAAAATCTCTCCCACACAATGCTTGCTGCCCTGACATTCTATAAGGATACTTACTTCTGAAAAACTGTACATTTAAAATTATGTTCTTATGTTTATGAATTTGAATATAAATTCAGAATTATTTAATAAGAAAACAAATTGGAGAGGGTTGAATGTTTTTATGTATCCTCTATAAATGAGAAAAAGGACATTAATGACACTAATCTTAAAGCACTAAACATGCAAGAATAAGAAATTAAATTCCCTTTAAATTTTATGTTAGAATAATTATCCCCCTCAATGCAATTTGCCCATGTTTTATTAAAGCTTTATTATGTCAAGGTAAATAGAGGTTAATGCTGCTGTTACTTCTTCCAATGAAGTATTATCTTTAATCTTGCTTTAATAAAATAGTGGCAAATTGCACAGTAGGGGTAATCACCATGGGCTAATTTAGAGAGTTGTAAAATCCTTTACCAAGTATATACTGTAGTTAAAAATAGAAGTAGTCTTAAAAAAACACAAATTGCAATGTAACTTGGAGGAAGTTAAGGAGATTGCTATTCATAATTTCAATTACTTAATTAAATAGATGATTATTGAGTACCTACTATGTGCACTGTTCTGGCTGTGTCGAGGGTATGAAAGTATATAAAAATGGACTTTCTCCCTAAGGAGCTTATGATTAACTACTTGGGAAAATACATAAAAACAAATCACTATTGACTATGAAGCTTGCCATAGCAGAATTGTGAACATCCCTGCCATGGATTTTTAGAAGAGAGAAAGGTCACTTCAGGCAGAAGATCAAGAAGAGGTCATCTGAACTGAGTCTTGAAGGATGGTATAAAATGGAAATGTGTCAGAGGAAAGGGAAGGATATTTTAGGTAAGGAAATGGCAAGAGCAAAGGACTGGGGCCAAAGGGTACCAGATGTCCAATCAATATTTTCTTGCCAGGTTCAATCAGAGCTGAGAGTTGGACTGAAAGACCAGTCAGAGTCTATTACAAAAAGCCAGTTGAGAAGCAGAGAGGTCTTCTACCATTCTGGATTGGACAGCCTTAGCTGGAAAAAAATTTCGCTAGGTATATATAATATATATGAATATGTGCATATATTTATATATAATATATATAAAATCTCCCACATTACTGAGTTAATATACTATATACATTATTAAACATATGTACAAATAGAAAAAAGGATGCTTTTTGTTTTTTATCTTCACATTTCTTTTATGTATTTTTTAAAATTTTAATTTAATTTAATTTTAAGATCCAGGATACAAGTGCAGGATGTGCAGGTTTGTTACATAGGTAAACGTATGCCATGGCGGTTGGCTATACCTATCAACCCTTCACCTAGGTATTAAACTCAGCATGCATTAGCTATTTTTCCTAATGCTCTCCCCCTCCCCACCCTGCCCCCTGACAAGCCGTCGTGTGTATTGTTCCCCAGCCCTGTGTCCATGTGTTCTCATTGTTCAGCTCTCGCTTGTAAGCGAGAACTTGGGGTGTTTGGTTTTCTGTTCCTGTGTTAGTTTGCTGAGGATAATGGCTTCCAGCTCCATCCCTGTCCCTTCAAAGGACATGATCTCCTTCCATTTTTATGGCTGCATAGTATTCCATGGTGTATATGTACCACATTTTCTTTTTCCAGTCTATCATTGATGGGCATTTGGGTTGATTCCATGTCTCTGGTATTGTGAGTAGTGCTGTAACGAACATATGCGTGCACATATCTTTATAAAAGAATGGTTTATATTCCTCTGAGTATATACCCAGTAATGGGATTGCTGGGTTAAATGATATTTAATTTTATTTCTACCTCTAGGTCTTTGAGGAATAGCCACACTGTCTTCCCGAATGGTTGAGCTAATTTACATTTCCACCAACAGTATAAAAGCATTCCTGTTTCTCCACAGCCTTGCCAGCATCGGTTGTTTATGGACTTTTTAATAATTGCCATTCTGACTGGCGTGAGATGGTATCTCACTGTGGTTTTGATTTGCATTTCTCTAATGATCAGCAATGTTGAGCTTTTTTTCACATGTTTTTTGGCTGCATAAGTGTCTTCTTTTGAGAAATGTCTCTTCGTGTTCTTTGCCCACTTTTTAATGGAGTTGTTTGTTTTCTTCTTATAAATTTAAGTTCCTTGTAGATGCTGGATATTAAGCCTTTGTCAGATGGATAGATTGCAAAAATTTTCTCCCATTCTGTAGGTTGCCTGTTCACTCTGATGATAGTTTCTTTTGCTGTACAGAAGCTCTTTAGTTTAATAAGATCCCATTTGTCAATTTTGGCTTTTGTTGCAGTTGCTTTTGGCATTTTCATTATGAAATCTTTGCCGGTGCCTATGTCCTAAATGGTATTGCTTAGGTTTTCTTCAAGGGTTTTTATAGTTGTGTGTTTTACATTTAAGTCTTTAATCCATCTTGTTAATTTTTGTGTAAGGTGTAAAGAAGGGGTCCAGTTTCAGTTCTGTGCATAGGCTAGCCTATTCTCCCAGCACCATTTATTAAATAGGAAATCCTTTCCCCATTGCTTGTTTTTGTCAGTTTTGTCAAAGATCAGATGGTTGTAGTTGTGTGGTCTTATTTCTGAGATCTCCATTCTGTTCCATTGGTCTATGTGTCTGTTTTTGTACCAATACAATGCTGTTTTGGTTACTGTAGCCCTGTAGTATAGTTTGAAGTTGGGTAGCGTGACGCCTCCAGTTTTTTTTTCTGCTTAGAATTGTCTTGGCTATGTGGGCTCTCTTTTGGTTCCATATGAACTTTAGTTTTTTTCTAATTCTAGGTAAAGAATATCAGTGATATTTTAATGGGAATCTCATTGAATCTATAAATTACTTTGAGCAGTATGGTCATTTTCATGATATTGATTCTTCTTATCCACGAGCATGGAATGTCTTTCCATTTGTGTCCTCTCTGATTTCCTTGAGCAGTGGTTTGTAGTTCTCCTTGAAAAGGTCCTTTACTTCCCTTGTTAGCTCTATTCCTATTTATTTTATTCTCTTTGCAGCAATTGTGAATGGGAATTAATTCATAATTTGGCTCTCTGCTTGTTTATTGTTGGTATGTAGGAATGCTTGTGATTTTTACACATTGATTTTGTATCCTGAGATTTTGCTGAAGTTGCTTATCAGCTTAAGAAGCTTTTGGGCTGAGATTCTGGGGTTTTCTAGATATAGGACCATGTCATTTGCAAAGAGTGACAGTTTGACTTTTTCTCGTCCTATTTGAGTACCCGTTCTTTCTTTCTCTGGCCTAGATTGCCCTGGCCAGAACTTCCAACACTATGTTTAATAGGAGTGGTGACAGACAGCATTTTTGTCTTATGCCAGTTTTCAAGGGGAATGCTTTCAGCTTTTGTCCATTCAGTATGATATTGGCTGTGGGTTTGTCATAAATGACTGTTACTATTTTGAGGTATGTTCCATCAATACCTTGTTTATTGGGAGTTTTTAACATGAAGGGATGTTCAACTTTATTAAAGACCTTTTCTGTGTCTATTGAGATAATCATGTGGTTTTTGTCTTTAGTTCTGTTATGTGATGAATTACATTTATGATTTGCATATGTTGAACGAGCCTTGCATCATGGGGATGAAGCCCACTTGATTGTGGTGGATACGCCTTTTGATGTGCTACTGGATTTGGTTTGCCAGTATCTTATTGAGGATTTCTGCATTAATGTTCATAAGGGATATTGGCCTAAAGTTTTCTTTTTTTGTTGTATCTCTGCCAGGTTTTGGTATCAGGATGATGCTGGCATCGAAAAATGAGTTAGGGAGGAGTCCATCCTTTTGAATTGTTTGAAATAGTTTCAGAAGAAATGGTACCAACTCCTCTTTTACCTCTGGTAGAATTCATCTGTAAATCCATCTAGTCCTGGGCATTTTTTGGTTGGTAAGCTATTTATGACTGCCTCAATTTCAGAACTTGTTATTGATTTATTCAGGGATTCAAATTCTTACTGTTCAGTTTTGGAAGGGTGTATGTTTCCAGGAATTTATCCTTTTTGTCTAGATTTTCTAGTTTATTTGCATATAGCTGTTTATAGTATTCTCTGATGGTTGTTTGTATTTCTGTGGGGTCCCCTTTATCTTTTTTGTGTGTCTATTTGATTCTTCTCTCTTTTCTTCTTTATTAGTCTAGCTAGCAGTCTTTTTTTTTTTTTTTTTTTTTGAGATGGAGTCTCACTCTATTGTCCAGTCTGGAGGGCAGTGACACGATCTTGGCTCACTGCAACCTTCATCTACTGAGTTCAAGTGATCCTCCTGCCTCAGCCTCCCTAGTAGCTGGGACTACAGTTGCATGCCACCATACTCAGCTAATTTTTGTATTTTTAGTAGAGACAGCATTTCACCATGTTGTCTAGGCTGGTCTCGAACTCCTGACCTCAACTGATTCGTCTGCCTTGGCCTCCCAAAGTGCTGGGATTACAAGCAAGAGCCACCATGCCCGGCCCATGGTCTATTTTTTTGATTTTTTTCAAAAAATCCAGCTCCTGGATTTGTTGATTTTCTTTGGAAGGGATTTTGCTGTCTCTATCTTTTTCAGTTCCGCTCTGATCTTGTTTATTTCTTGTCTTCTGCTAGCTTTGGGGTTTGTTTGCTATTGGTTCTCTAGTTCTCTTAGTTGTGATGTTAGGATGTCAATTTGAGATCTTTCTAACTTTTTGATATGGGCATTTATTTATTAATTTATGACCATAGTTTTGTTAAGTATAAAATAGGAATAATAGTAACTATATAAATTAATTTGTGCAAATTCAAATGGGAAAACCATGTTTTACATCAGTTCTACTGGGATTATAAAGCACAAGGATTTAATTATTATGACATAGTAACTTTATAAAATGAAGTAATCAGAGACATTATTTAATTGGAAGGGCATAACTAGGATCAACATGGATAAAAGTGCTAAAAGGAAACAAATTCAAATCAACATTATAAGTATAATTCTTATAAGAACAAGTATACATTATAATTCTTAATTATTTTCACCCCATGTTCAAAATGAAACATATTAAAAATTATTTCTTGATTTGACCATGAAAAGTAAATGCCTCCCTTTAAGACTTAAGTAATGAATGAATAAGCTATTGAAGTTGTCTGTGGATAGTACAAATATTTTAACCCTAATTTGGGAATTACTACATGGTATATATTAAAAAATGTAAATACAGACCCTTCTTTCCCTAACTTATCTTTTGTTCAGCACAGCTTGTGCATCTGTACCTCATGATCAATATTTTCCAAGTATACTGTAGTTTTATACAATAATCTTATTAGATCATGGTATGTATTTTTAAGCAATACAGTATCTGTAATTTGAATCTAAAGCTTATTTATTTCTCAGGTAAAATATTTCTACTACATAGTGTCGTATAACGCAGAAGTACTAGTTTCTAGATTTTTCACCTAATCACCAGTATTCTTACACTGTAACAGTATTTCATGTCTGCAGGTGAATTGTAATTTCCTCAAGGACAGACACCTTATTTTCTATACTGTTTTACCATTTTGCATCTTAAAGCAAAATTAGAGACATATTTTCAGTGTTTCTCTAGCATTTTTTCTTTATGGAATGCTCTGGGATATTCAAGTTTGGGTTGTACAGTGAAGGATGAAAAGAATCAAAATGACTCTCCATTACTCAGGGGTATTTAGAAAAGTCAGGACTACAGCGTGACAGTGAGTTATGGGCCCTCTTATCTTGTGTTCTTGCTTAAGAAAAACTATTTAGTGAATGGATCCCACTTTTTTGCATATGAATAGGGTCACAATCATTCATGCAAACAGAAACATGCCGTCTTTCTTGGTGCTGACTTAGTTTTTCATCAAGCCTCTTCTCTTCTACTTCCAGACATGACATGCACTCTACTGTGTGGCATGATGGGCCCTTCTCAATAATCTGTGTAAGACAAGTTCATATCTTTTGTTGTAAAAAAATAACCTTTACACACTGATGAAAATGTTGTTGAAACATGGCACATCTTTAAGTCTCACACACAAGGTGAGAAGCACTACCAATTGACTCTACAAAAGCATAAACCAGAACATAATTTTTGCACTTAAAAACACTAAGACCTGAAATTAGGAAACTGTAAAACTGCAGAAGCACTCAAACCAACATACAGCTTTACTCTGAGTAATATAAGAGTAGAGGTATTTTAGACCTAATACACAGAGTTCTAGGTGTAATTCTGTTAAGCAGCTTTACATTTTGCCATTAGAACTATTTCCCCTCTGTGTTAAGCTTTAATATCCTTTCAAATGCATTAATGTGTCACCAGAACAGACTCTCACAGACTCCTGGCTGCTTTAAATATTTCCATTTTAATAACAGCTTCAGATCTTCACTCAGAGCTTTATATACCCCTTACTGTCACAGAGGCTTGTGAAAGACAGAAGGAAACAGCTCATCATCCACAAAAGTCATCCAATGTACAATTGTTTGCTTTAGAATACAACCCACATGAAAATTAAAGGGAAACATAATTTACATTTGATTTTCTCTACCCTTTGTGCTCATCTCTGAATACTTCTACAGACATTTTTGAAGTTCCTGTAAGGACGGCTTAAATTCTCTCTTTCTGAAAGTGACTGTAGTTTCATACTAAAAGAGTTAAGGTCCCTCTCTTAAATCTCAGAAAGGCAGAGTAGAGCCAAATGTTGTTTAGACCTTCATAATGTGAGGTGTTGCAATCAGATTTGCTATTAAGTAGCATGGGAGCTGAGAGGTAAGGAGTAGCACTTCACCAATGCAGCAGGGTTAAAACGTTTGTGACAGTGGTGATGGTTCTTCATGTTTGTCTAAAAGGAAAAGTGGGCATTTAATATTTTGTGTAATTTCTGACCTTACCGGTAACCACTGTCATGCTTCAGAGAAAGCCAATAATAATTTTGGGATTAAGGAACAGGGATAAGTTAAGGCAAACTAGAAGAAGGTTCCAGATATAATCTTGAAGACCTGCAAAAGTTTTCATTACAAAAATGAAGACAAAATTAGAACAGGCTAGAATGACTATGAAGACACAAATAAAATAAGGAGTTGGCGGGGTAGACAAACTGTCAGAAGACAGAGGATCCTGGGCACATTTTTTATTTTTTATTTTTTATTTTTTTGAGACGGAGTCTCGCTCTGTCGCCCAGGCTGCAGTGCAGTGGCGTAATCTCGGCTCACTGCAAGCTCCGCCTTCCAGGTTCACGCCATTCTCCTGCCTCAGCCTCCCGAGTAGCTGAGACTACAGGTGCTTGCCACCACACCCGGCTAATTTTTTGTATTTTTAGTAGAGACGGGGTTTCACCATGTTAGCCAGGATGGTCTCGATCTCCTGACCTCATGATCCGCCCACCTCGGCCTCCCAAAGTGCTGGGATTACAGGCGTGAGCCACCGTGCCCGGCTGGCACATTTTGTACTTTGCTCATATTGTTTATCTATGAGTATTGTGCCATTTAATATTACACCTTCAAAAAATGCGATTTGGGGCTAGGCGTGGTGGCTCACGCCTGTAATCCCAGCACTTTGGGAGGCCGAGGTGGGCAGATCACCTGAGGTCGGGAGTTTGAGACCAGCCTGACCAACATGGAGAAACCCCGTCTCTAAGAAAAATACAAAAATTAGCCGGGCATGGTGACGCAATGCCTGTAATCCTAACTACTCGGAAGGCTGAGGCAGGAGAATCGCTTGAACCCCAGAGGTGGAGGTTGTGGTGAGCTGAGATTGTGCCATTGCACTCCAGCCAGGTCAACAAGAGCGAAACTCTGTCTCAAAAAAAAAAAAAAAAAAAAAAAATGTGATTTGCCAAAGATGGTAAACTCTTTGTTCCCTTACTGAATTTTGGTTAATTTATAATTGTTAATGAAAATATGAGGCAAAACTGCATACTCTCAAATGATAGTTCACTCTGATCCACCAGAAAGAGGAATAAGAATGAGGCTCAACATTGTGGGACTAGGCTCCAACCTAAGTGAGTGTTTTAAACTAACTTAGTGTGTTCCTCATTGATGACAATGACCTATTTGAAGTCTTCCCCTCTTCATTACACCCTCAGTGATCCCAAAGGGTCTTATCTAATTTGTTTTCTTTGGTAAACTGAAAATAACTATGAATTAATTTCACTTTAATTAACACATATCTTTGAACAATTGAGTGTCTCTCTTTATTTTTATTATTTATTTATTCATTCATTTATTTATTTTTGAGACGGAGTTTCGTTCTTGTTCCCCAGGCTGGAGTGCAATGGGGCCATCTCGGCTCACTGCACCTCTGCCTTCTGGGTTCAAGCAATTCTCCTGGCTCAGCTTCCCGAGTAGCTGGAATTACAGGCACCTGCCACCAGTCTCTTTTATTTTAAATACTAGTTTAGTTTAGTTTGAATGTTTGGTGTATCCAAACAATCAAATCAGCAAACAACACCTGAATTCCAAGTGTTAATTTCCAATTGTTTGCCACTTTTCACATTGATATCACACCAGAAACTACAACACAATACATTCCAAAAAAGTTTAACATTTTTACTCGTAATTCCCTGCTCTTCTGTCTCTTTCTGTTACTAACACTTTATTCACCCAGACCCACAGGCTCAAATCCTTGGAGTTTCCATTGACTTTTCTCAAGCAAAGCTTACATTTTAAGTTTATAATACTTTCTTCCTACTCTTTTATATTCTAATTCTTTCCTGCTCTTATGACTACCACTATGGCAGAGGTCCTCAAGGAGCACAAGATAATCTATTAAGGAAGAAAGAAATCATTAGGATTTCTACAAAAACAACAACAACAAAAAATCCTTAGGGGAGGGGCCAAGATGGCTGACTAGAAACAGCTGCAGTCAGATGCTCCCACTGAGAAAAATGAAAATGGCAAGTGAATCCTGCACCAACAACTGAAGTATTAGGGTCTCTCACTGGGATTGACTAGATGGTTAGCACGACCTATGGAGAGCGAGGAAAAACAGGGTAGAGTGACAGCCTACCCGGAAGCCACACAGGTAAGGGGAGCTCCCACTTCCCGCCAAGGGAGGCAGTGAGTGAGTGTGCTACCCCACCTGGGAAACCACGTTTTTTTCCATGGATCTGTGCAACCCATGGATCAGGACATCTGCCTCGTGAGCCCACGGCACCAGGGCCTTGGGTCCCAAGCACAGAGCTGTGCAGATTCTCAGTGGCCACTCAGCTGCAGACTGCCTAAGACTAGTGAGTTCCTGGAGTGAAGGGCATCAGTCCTCATTGCCTCTGCCTGCTGCCTAAGATGACTGAGCTCCGCGGGGAAGGGCAGCAGCCATCACTACAGCTCTAGTCAGCCATTTTTCCCCTGCTGGCGCTGGGGAGACTGAGTAGTTTGGACCCAGGAGGAATTCCTCACAGTGCAGCACAGCAGCTGACAGATGGTGACCAGACTACCTCTTTAGGCTGGACTCTGACCCATTCCTTCTCACCGGGTGGAGCCTCACTGCAGGAATTTCAGCAACTCCAGCCAGGAGTTCACAGACAGAACTCTTGATTTCCCTGGGAAGGAGCCTCAGTGGGGAGGGACGGTCACAGTCTCCAGGGATCAGCAGTCTTAGTCTTTCCTCCTGCTGGCTCTGAGGAATCCAGGCACTCCCAATGAGAGGAATTCCCCCGAGTGCAGTGTACCCTCACCAAGGGGCAGCCAGAGTGCTTCATTAAGTGGGTCCCTGATACCATGCCTCCTGACTGGGTGAGACCCACCAACAGGGGCCACCAGACACCTTACACAGGACCATTCCCGCCAGCATCAGGTTGGTGTCCCTTTGGGACAGAGCTTCCAGAAGAAGGAGCAGGCAGCCATCTTTGATATTCTGCTGCCTCCACTGGTGACATCGTCAGGTGAAGGAGGGACCCAGCTGAATTGGGTCTGGAGAGAACTCCCAGCAAACCGCAGCCCTATAGAAGAGGGGCCTGACTGTTAAAATAAAAACAAACAGAAATCAACGACAACAACAGCATCAACAAAAACATTCCCACAAAAACCCTATCCAAATGTCAGCAACCTCAAAGATCAAAGCTAGATAAACCCATGAAGATGAGAAAGAAAACTAAAAACACGGAAAACTCAAAAAACCAGAGTGCCTCTTCTCCAAATGATCATAACACCTCTCCAGCAAAAACTGGGAGGAGGCTGAGATGGATAAATTGACAGAAGAAGCCTTCAGAAGGTGGGTAATAATGAACTTCACTGAGCTAAAGGAGCTAAGTTCTAACTCAATGCAAAGAAGCTAAGAACTATGATAAAACATTACAGGAGCTGTTAACCAGAATAACCAGTTTAGAGAGGAACATAAATGACCTGATGGAGCTGAAAAACACAACAGGAGAACTTCGCAATGGAGCCACAAGTATGAATAGTCGAATAAACCAAGGGGAGGAAAGAATTTCAGAGCTTGAAGGCTACCTTGCTGAAATAAAACAGGCAGACAGGATTAGAAAAAAAAATGAAAAAGAACAAACAAAACCTCTGAAAACTATGTGATTATGTAAAAAGACCAAACCTACGACTGATTGGGGTACCTGAAAGAGATGGGGAGAATGGAACCAAGTTGGGAAACATACTTCAGAATATCATAGTAACTACATCACAAGGTTATTGTAAAGATTAAAGAGAATAATATATATTAGTATAAATTACTCAATGTAGGGTGCCAGTTATTATTATTAATTTGTAAAACATACATACTTTTACCTATCATGATAATCTTGTTTTGTTACAAAAGAAAAATTAAGACAAATGGGAGATAGAAGAAACACAGAAAGTGTAGAACACATAGAAAACATAAAAATAAATGTAAATATATTAAACTCCCCAGTTAAGGAAAAAGATTTTCAGTCTGTTAATATCCAGTTGTATGCACTATATATGCTCAGTGTGTTTACAAGAGATGCAGTGGAGATTTACAGATAGACAAATATGCAATTCAAAGTAGGGGAAAAGATATAGCAGATAAAGTCTAACTACATGAAGCCTGGTATGAAATATTAATTTCAGATCAAATAGAAAACAGATAAAGAGAATCATTTTATGATGACAAAAAATTCAAGTCACAGGCACTCAACAATTTTAATTGTTATGTACTTAACAACATAACTTCAAAATAGTAAAGAAAAAATTGGCAGGACTGCAAGATAAATTGAAAGCCTACCTTATTATTGAAATAATTTAAATAATGGAGTAAATGATAAATTAGGCAAATAAAATATTAGTAGGATATTAAAATTTGAACTGCCCAAGTACAAGTTCAACCTAGGGGATGGGCATTAAAGTACACCCCCCAACAACTGTGACATGTGCATTCTTCTTAAGCACATCTAGAACATTTATGAAAATTGACTATGTGCTAAGCCATAAAAACTAACCTCGACAAATTTCAAAGATTAGTGTCATGAAGACCACACTCTGCTTGCAATGCAATTGCATTAGTAAAAAACAACAAAAACTACAAAACTCCCAAACATTTGGAAGTTAAAAAGCAAAGCTCCAAGTAATTTTTAATGAACGTTAGAAAGTATTTACACCTGAATTATTTTAGAAAGTATTTACACCTGAATTATTTTGAAAATACTACATATCAAAACTTTGGGATATAGCTAAAATGTAATTTAGACCAAAATGTATGGTTCTAAATGCTTTTGTTAGAAATGAAGAAAGTATAAATTTCCAACTTTATAAGTTAGAAAAAAGAACAATAGAAAAAAGATTGGAGAAAAGAATTGCAATAAAAGCAGAAATCAATATTATAGAAAATAAATATTTACTAGAAAGGTTTAACAAAGCATTTTTAAAAAATGAATAAAATAGGCCAACTTTAGCAAAATTGTCAAATAAGAAGAGGTGCTCCTTGTAACAAAATAATATTTAGTATGGAAACGGGGGTATAACTACAGACATAGGAGATATTAAAATAACTTAAGATGCTAATCAATAATTTTATATCAATAAATTTACAAGCATTTTAAGATACATTTATCAAACTAGTTCAAGAGAAGTCAGTACAAGAAAGAAATAAGCAGATTACTCCTGGAAATAGATGCAGAAATCCTAAGCAAATCAAATCCTGTAATGTATAAAAACCACACATTAAAGGCATTTTGTGTTTGTCCAAAAATACATAATTTAATATTAGAAAATCAATTAGTGTAATTAAAATAGCAGCATATTAAGGAAGATAAATTACAAGATTATGTCTTCAGATACAAAAAAAGCATTTGGTAAGATTCAATAAAACAGAAACTATTAGCAAGTGAAGAAGAAAAGAAACTTCCTAACATTGATACAGTCTATAAAAGCCCAAAGCAAATATTATATATGCTTAATGAGAAAATATTGAAAGCACTGTCTTTAAGATAAAAACAAAAAACAAGCAAACAACAACAACAACAAAAAACCCAAGAATTTTTGCCATACAAAACCATTTTTTTTTCTTGGGAGTATGGGTTTCCCTAGAGTATATTGCAATGGGGAGAAAATGCCACAACTCTTGTGGGAGTTGGAGGCCAAGTGTTGACTCTAGCATCTAATGAGAAATAAAGTTGCATTGTAAATCAAAAACAAAATCTAGGCCCCCCAAGTGACTGAAAAGATCCCTTTTGTGGGCCAAGGGCATTCCAAGGTAAACCTGATAAACTAGTCTGGCCATGATAGAAAGGAGCGTTCAGACATGCCTTGTTACAGTCTCCTCCCTTTGGAATTCAGGTACAATTGACCAACATTAACATTAAAATAGAGGTCTTAAGAGTGATAAAATAGATTCTTTGTAGCAATAAGATACCAAATTTAGTATAGCATCACAAGACAAATAGCAGTCCGTGAAAGAAACTGTATGTTTTACCCCAGAATATATTTCTTAGACATATTTTGAAATGACCCCTGTAAAGCTATCTCTTGTGGGGAAAACTTTCATTCTGTAGAGAATCTCCTTCCCTTTTCAGGTCTTTTCCTGATCTAGAAGAGGTTAACTAAGAGTCTGGCACCTTTTTATGCCTAATTAGAGACAGTTACGGCTATTTTTTCTGAGGCCTGCTACCCGAAGTCTTCATCTGCTTTAAGAACCTTGGTCTCCACAGCCCTTGTTATCTTAATAGTCCTTTCTGTTGATTCCAGATCTGTAGATAATAACTTAACTCTTTCAACCAATTGCTAATCAGAAAACCTTTGAATCCATGAATCCAACTGTGACCCGGAAGCCCAGCCCTTTCCCCACTTTAAGTTGTCCTGCCTTTCCAGACTGAACCAATGCATACCTTGAATATACTGATGTATTGATTGATATCTTATGTCTCCCAAAAATGTATAAAACCAAGCTGTCATCCAATCACCTTGTGCCTATGTTCTCAGGACCTCCTGGGGCTATGTCATGGGCACTAATATTTGGCTCAGAATAAACCTCTTTAACTATTTTACAGAATTTGACTCTTTTCATCAACACCATAATGTGATAATGGTGGTGATGCTGATTATAGCCATGGTGATAATGATGTCTTTATACAGCAGAGTTCCAAATTATTAGCGTATATTAATTCATTCTTCAGAAATTTTTTGTGTACTTGCTATGTGCTAAGAAATAAGAAATAACTTTTCCAGTAATCAAAAACTTGGTCTTCTTAATCAGTAAATTATCTCACTATATATGATCTTCCTTTTTATTATGGGCTGTTCTGGGTACCTTTTGTCAGGCCTCTGAGCCCGAGCCCAAGCCAAGCCATCGCATCCCCTGTGACTTGCACCAAGTATACGCCCAGATGGCCGGAAGTAACTGAAGAATCACAAAAGAAGTGAATATGCCCTGCCCCACCTTAACTGATAACATTCCACCACAAAAGAAGTGTAAATGGCCAGTCCTTGCCTTAAGTGATGACATTACCTTGTGAAAGTCCTTTTCCTGGCTCATCCTGGCTCAAAAAGCACCCCCACTGAGCACCTTGTGACCCCCACTCCTGCCCGCCAGAGAACAAACCCCCTTTGACTGTAATTTTCCTTTACCTACCCAAATCCTATAAAATGGCCCCACCCTTATCTCCCTTCACTGACTCTCTTTTCGGACTCAGCCCGCCTACACCCAGGTGAAATAAACAGCCATGTTGCTCACACAAAGCCTGTTTGGTGGTCTCTTCACACGGACACGCATGAAATTTGGTGCTGTGATTCGGATCGGGGGACCTCCTTTGGGAGATCAATCCCCTGTCCTCCTGTTCTTTGCTCCATGAGAAAGATCCACCTACGACCTCAGGTCCTCAGACCGACCAGCCCAAGAAACATCTCACCAATTTCAAATCCAGTAAGCAGCCTCTTTTTACTCTCTTCTCCAACTTCCCTCACTATCCCTCAACCTCTTTCTCCTTCCAATCTTGGTGCTACACTTCAATCTCTCCCTTCTCTTAATTTCAATTCCTTTCATCTTCTGGTAGAGACAAAGGAGACACATTTTATCCGTGGACCCAAAACTCCGGTGCCGGTCACGGACTGGGAAGGCAGCCTTCCCTTGGTGTTTAATCATTGCAGGAACACCTCTCTGATTATTCACCCATGTTTCAAAGGTGTCAGACCATGCAGGGACGCCTGCCTTGGTCCTTCACCCTTAGTGGCAAGTCCCACTTTTCTGGGGAAAGGGCAAGTACCCCAACCCCTTCTCTCCTTGTCTCTACCCCTTCTTTGCTTTTCTGGGAGAGGGGCAAGTACCCCTCAACCCCTTCTCCTTCACTCTTAGCGGCAAGTCCTGCTTTTCTAGAGGAGGGGCAAGTACCCCAACCTTGTATCTCTCTGCCCCAATCCCTTATTTCCACGCCCTGACCTCTTATCTCTGTGCCCCAATCCCTTATTTCCATGCCCCAACCCCTTATTTCCATGCCCCGACCCCTTATTTCCATGCCCCGACCCCTTATTTCTGCACCCAATCCCTTATTTCCACACCCCTACCTCTTATCTCTGTGCCCCAACCCCTTTTCCCACTTTTCTGGAAGGTAAGAACCCCCAAACCCCTTCCCTCCATTTCTCTACTCTCTCTTTTCTCTAGGCTTGCTTCCTTCACTATGGGCAACCTTCCACCCTCCATTCCTCCTCCTACTCCCTTGGCCTGTGTTCTCAAAAACTTAAAACCTCTTCAACTCACACCTGACCTAAAACCTAAATGCCTTATTTTCTTCTGCAATGCCGCTTGACCCCAATACAAACTGGACAGTAGTTCCAAATAGCCAGAAAATGGCACTTTGAATTTTTCCATCCTGCAAGATCTAAATAATTCTTGTCATAAAATAGGCAAACGGTCTGAGGTGCCTGACGTCCAAGCATTCTTTTACACATCAGTCCCTTCCTAGTCTCTGTGCCCAGTGCAACTCATCCCAAATCTTCCTTCTTTCCCTCCCGCCTGTCCCCTCAGTACCAACCCCAAGCGTCGCTGAGTCTTTCTAATCTTCGTTTTCTACAGATCCATCTGACCTCTCCCTTCCTCCCCAGGCTGCTCCTCGCCAGGCTGAGCTAGGTCCCAATTCTTCCTCAGCCTCTGCTCCTCCACCCTATAATCCTTTTATCACCTCCCCTCCTCACACCTGGTCCGGCTTACAGTTTCATTCCGTGACTAGCCCTCCCCCACCTGCCCAGCAATTTACTCTTAAAAGGGTGGCTGAAGCTAAAGGCATAGTCAAGGTTAATGCTCCTTTTTCTTTATCCCAAATCAGATAGCGTTTAGGCTTTTTTTCATCAAATATAAAAATCCAGCCCAGTTCATGACTTGTTTGGCAGAAACCCTGAGACGCTTTACAGCCCTAGACCCTAAAAGGTCAAAAGGCCGTCTTATTCTCAAAATACATTTTATTACCCAATCTGCTCCCGACATTAAATAAAACTCCAAAAATTAAATTCCGGCCCTCAAACCCCACAACAGGATTTAATTAACCTCGCCTTCAAGGTGTACAATAATAGAAAAAAGTTGCAATTCCTTGCCTCCACTGTGAGACAAACCCCCCAGCCACATCTCCAGCACACAAGAACTTCCAAACACCTGAACTGCAGCGGCCAGGCATTCCTCCAGAACCTCCTCCCACAGGAGCTTGCTACCTGTGCTGGAAATCTGGCCACTGGGCCAAGGAATGCCTGCAGCCTGGGATTCCTCCTAAGCCGCGTCCCATCTGTGTGGGACCCCACTGAAAATAAGACTGTTCAACTCACCTGGCAGCCACTCCCAGAGCCCCTGGAACTCTGGCCCAAGGCTCTCTGACTGACTCCTTGCCAGATCTTCTCGGCTTAGCGGCTGAAGACTGACACTGCCCGATCGCCTCGGAAGCCCCCTAGACCGTCACGGACGCCGAGCTTCGGGTAACTCTCACAGTGGAAGGTAAGCCCGTCCCCTTCTTAATCAATACGGAGGCTACCCACTCCACATTACCTTCTTTTCAAGGGCCTGTTTCCCTTGCCTCCATAACTGTTGTGGGTATTGATGGCCAGGCTTCTAAGCCTCTTAAAACTCCCCAACTCTGGTGCCAACTTAGACAATACTCTTTTAAGCACTCCTTTTTAATTATCCCCACCGGCCCAGTTCCCTTATTAGGCTGAGACACTTTAACTAAATTATCTGCTTCCCTGACTATTCCTGGACTACAGCTGTATCTCATTGCCGCCCTTCTTCCCAATCCAAAGCCTCCTTTGCGTCCTCCTCTTGTATCTCCCCACCTTAACCCACAAGTATAAGATACCTCTACTCCCTCCTTGGCGACTGATCATGCACCCCTTACCATCTCATTAAAACCTAATCACCCTTATCCCATCCCGCAGCACGCTTTAAAAAGATTAAAGCCTGTTATCACTTGCCTGCTACAGCATGGCTTTTTAAAGCCTATAAACTCTCCTTACAATTCCCTCATTTTACCTGTCCTAAAACCAGACAAGCCTTACAAGTTAGTTCAGGATCTGCGCCTTATCAACCAAATTGTTTTGCCTATCCACCCCATGGTACCAAACCCATATACTCTCCTATCCTCAATACCTGCCTCTACAACCCATTATTCTGTTCTAGATCTCAAACATGCTTTCTTTACTATTCCTTTGCACCCTTATTCCCAGCCTCTCTTCGCTTTCACTTGGACTGACCCTGACACCCATCAAGCTCAGCAAATTACCTAGGCTGTACTGCCGCAAAGCTTCACAGACAGTCCCCATTACTTCAATCAAGCCCAAATTTCTTCCTCATCTGCTACCTATCTCGGCATAATTCTCATAAAAACACACATGCTCTCCCTGCCAATCGTGTCTGACTGATCTCTCAAACCCCAGCACCTTCTATAAAACAACTCCTTTACATCCTAGGCATGGTTGGCACAGTCAGAATTCTTACACAACAGCCACGACCACACCCTGTAGGCTTTCTGTCCAAACAACTTGACCTTACTGTTTTAGCCTAGCCCTCATGTCTGTGTGCAGTGGCTGCCGCTGCTTTAATACTTTTAGAGGCCCTCAAAATCACAAACTATGCTCAACTCACTCTCTACAGTTCTCATAACTTCCAAAATCTATTTTCTTCCTCATACCTGACACATATACTTTTGGCTTCCCAGCTCCTTCAGCTATACTCACTCTTTGTTGAGTCTCCCACAATTACAGTTGTTCCTGGCCGAGACTTCAGTCTGGCCTCCCACATTATTGCTGATACCACACCTGACCCCCATGACTGTATCTCTCTGATCCACCTGACATTCACCCCATTTCCCCAAATTTCCTTCTTTCCTGTTCCTCACCCTGATCACGCTTGATTTATTGATGGCAGTTCCACCAGGCCTAATCGCCACACACCAGCAAAGGCAGGTTATACTATAGTACAAGCCACTAGCCCGCCTCTTAGAACCTCTCATTTCCTTTCCATCGTGGAAATCTATCCTCAAGGAAATAACTTCTCAGTGTTCCATCTGCTATTCTACTACTCCTCAGGGATTATTCAGGCCCCCTCCCTTCCCTACACATCAAGCTGGAGGATTTGCCCCACCCAGGACTGGCAAATTAGCTTTACTCAACATCCCTGAGACAGATAACTAAAATACCTCTTAATCTAGGTAGATACTTTCACTGGATAGGTAGAGGCCTTTCCTACAGGGTCTGAGAAGGCCATCGCAGTCATTTCTTCCGTTCTGTCAGACATAATTCCTCAGTTTAGCCTTCCCACCTCTATACAGTCTGATAACAGACAAGCCTTTATTAGACAAATCAGCCAAGCAGTTTTTCAGGCTCTTAGTATTCAGTGAAACCTTTATATCCCTTACGGTCCTCCGTCTTCAAGAAAAGTAGAATGGACTAAAGGTCTTTTAAAAACACACCTCACCAAGCTCAGCCACCAAAAAGGACTGGACAATACTTTTACCACTTTCCCTTCTCAGAATTCAGGCCTGTCCTCGGAATGCTACAGGGTACAGCCCATTTAAGCTCCTGTATAGACACTCCTTTTTATTAGGCCCCAGTCTCATTCCAGACACCAGACCAACTTAGACTGTGCCCCAAAATCTTGTCATCCCTACTATCTTCTGTCTAGTCATACTCCTATTCACCATTCTAAACTACTCATACATGCCCTGCTCTTGTTTACACTGCCGGTTTACACTGTTTTTCCAAGCCATCACAGCTGATATCTCCTGGTGCTATCCCCAAACTGCCACTCTTAACTCTTGAAGTAAATAAATAATCTTTGCTGGCAGGACTATGCTGAATCTCCTTAGGCACTCTCTAATCAGATATCCTGAGTCGTCCCAATTCTTAGACCTTTTATACCTGTTTTTCTCTTTCTGTTATTCCATTAGTTTCTCAATTCATCCAAAACCGTATCCAGGCTATTACCAATCATTCTATATGACAATTGTTTCTTCTAACATCCCCACAATATCACCCCTTACCACAAGACCTCCCTTCAGCTTAATCTCTCCCACTCTAGGTTCCCACGCCGCCCCTAATCCCGCTTGAAGCAGCCCTGAGAAACATTGCCCATTCTCTCTCCATACCACCCCCCAAAAATTTTCGCCACCCCAACACTTCAACACTATTTTGTTTTATTTTTTGTATTAATATAAGAAGGCAGGAATGTCAGGCCTCTGAGCCCAAGCCAAGCCATCGCATCCCCTGTGACTTGCACCAAGTATACACCCAGATGGCCTGAAGTAACTGAAGAATCACAAAGGAAGTGAATATGCCCTGCCCCACCTTAACTGATGACATTCCACCACAAAAGAAGTGTAAATGGCCGGTCCTTGCCTTAAGTGATGACATTACCTTGTGAAAGTCCTTTTCCTGGCTCATCCTGGCTCAAAAAGCACCCCCACTGAGCACCTTGTGACCCCCACTCCTGCCCGCCAGAGAACAAACCCCCTTTGACTGTAATTTTCCTTTACCTACCCAAATCCTATAAAACGGCCCCACCCTTATCTCCCTTCACTGACTCTCTTTTCGGACTCAGCCCGCCTGCACCCAGGTGAAATAAACAGCCATGTTGCTCACACAAAGCCTGTTTAGTGGTCTCTTCACACGGATGCGCATGAAACCTTTTATCTAAAATATTTTTATTTTATTTCATTTACCAAAGTAATACATAGGGCTGTATTGTATTCAAACTAGAAAAGAGAAAGTAGAAGGCAAGCTTAAATAACGTGTCATAAATAACAAGACAGAATTTTCAGGAAAGATTGGAGACCCGTTGTTTTCTAATTTTACAGAGGGTAAAAGGGAATGAATTGGTAACTATATCATACCAGGTTGATATAAGGTTTAAGAAAACAATTACTTATAAAGTGTTACAGTGAATGCTATGCAAGGACAACTATTGAGTTCACTCTTTTGTAAATCTTAATATGGCTTTGATTTATCTGGAAAGAGTAATAAAATTCTTTTGTCAGGTCTTATTTATTTATTTATTTATTTTTCTGAGATGGAGTCTTGCACTCTCCCCCAGGCTGGAGTGCAGTGGCGCCATCTTGGCTCACTGCAAGCTCCACATCCCGGGTTCACGCCATTCTTCTGCCTCAGCCTCCTGAGTAGCTGGGACTACAGGCGCCTGCCACCACTCCTGGCTAATTTTTCGTATTTTTAGTAGAGATGGGGTTTCACCATGTTAGCCAGGATGGTCTCGATCTCCTGACCTTGTGATCTGCTCGCCTCGGCCTCCCAAAGTGCTGGGATTACAGGCATGAGCCACCGTGCCCGGCCTGTCAGGTCCTCTAAATTCTTTTGACAGTCCTGTAAGTTTCACTTTCTTTCAGTTAGTTTAATTCTACTACTCTATCCAAGTGCATCTTATCTTGTCTATATTATCATCTTATCTTATTAATATCTTATGGTTTGAGAATCAGTCCAGCATGGCCTCTGATATAGATTGTCTAGATTATTGAACTCCCTATATTCCATAACCTGTCCTACAATTTAGTCTCCTAAAACTGTTCCAGTGATTCTTGTTTTCTTACAGACTATGGGGTTCTTTTTCTTTTTAAACAGATTTTATTTTTTAAAGCAGTTTTAGGTTCACAGAAAATTAAGCAGAAAGTAAAGAGAGTCTCATGTACCCACAACCTCCACATGGCCATCTCCAACATCAAAATGGTGTATCTGTAATAACTGAGGAACGTAGTATGATACATCATCATCACTCAAAGTCCATAGTTTACATTAGGGTTCACTCTTGGTGTTATATATACTGGATTTTGACAAATGTATACTGACATGTATCCACTATGATAGTATCGTACAGAATAATTTCCCTGCCCTAAAACTCCTCTCCTATTCATTTCTTCCTCCTACCAACCCCTGACAATCACTGATCTTTTTACTATCAACAGGGTTTTCCCTTTTCCAGAATGTCATATACCTGGAATAATGTGGTTTGTAGTCTCTTCAGACTGACTCTTTTCACTGAATCATATGCATTTATGGTTTTTCCAAGTCTTTTCATGGCTTGATTTTTTTCAGTCCTGAATAATATTGCATTGTCTGGATGTACTACTGTTTATTTATCCATTTACCTACTGAAGGACATTTGGGTTGTTTCCAAGTTATGGCAGTTATGAGTAAAGCTGCCATAAAAATGCATGAACCATTTTTAAGTGAACATAAGTTTTTAACTTCTTTGGGTAAGTACCAAGGCAGGTAATTGCTGAATGGTATGTTAAAAGTATGTTTCATTTTGTAAGAAACTGCCGAATTGTCTTCCAAATTTGCTCCGCCATTTTGTATTCTCATCAGCAATGAAAAAGAGTTTCTATAGATCCACATCTTTGCTAGCTTTTGGTACTGTCAGTGTTCTGGATTTGGGCTATTCTATTAGGCATGTAATGGTAGCACATTTTTGTTTTAATTGGCATTTCCCTAGTGACAGGATGTGGATGTCTTTTTATATGCTTATTTACCATTTGTATATCTTCTTTGGCAAAGTATTTGTTCAGGTCTTTGCCCATTTTTAAATTGGTCTATTTATTTTCTTATCGTTAAGTTTTAAGGTTTTTTTTTAAAAATATTTTGGATAACAATTGTATTAGTCTGTTCTTCAGTTACTACAAATAAATACCTGAGACTGGGTAACTTATAAGAAAAAGAGGTTTAATTGGCTTATGGTTCTGCAGGCTGTACAGGAAACATGATGCTGGAATCTACTTGGCTTCTGGAGAGGTCTCAGGAAACTTACAATGATGGTGGAAAGCAAAAGGGAAGCAGGCACATCTTACATGGTAGGAGCAAGAACAAGAAGCGGGGGTGGGGTTGGGGGGAGGTGCTATACATTTTTAAACAATTCACTCTCTATCTCAAGGACAGTATCAAGGAGATGGTGCTAAACTATGCATGAAGGATCTACCCCTATGATCCAATCACTTCCCACCAGGCCCCACCTCCAACACTGGAGATTACAATTCAACATGAGATTTTGGCAGGGACATATATCCAAACTATATCAACAATCTTGTGCAAATATTTACTGCAAGTCTGTGGCTTGTCTTCTCTTGACTGCTTTTTGCAGAGCAGACATTTTAAATTGAATGAAGTCCAGCTTATCAATTTTCTTTCACAGATCATACCTTTGGTATAGTATCTAAATGTCGTGTTCCTACATAAGGTCATCTAGCTTTTCTTCTATATTATCTTCCAGGAGTTTTATAGTTTAATATTTTACATATAGGTCTGTGATCCATTTTGAGTTAATTTTTGGAAAGGATGTAAGGTCTGTGTCTATGTTCATTTTTCCTTTTTGCATGCGGATGTGCAGCTCTTCTAGCACCATTTGTTAAAAGACTGTCTTTACTCCATTACATTGCCTTTGCTTCTTTGTCCAAGATCAGCTGACTATACTTATGTGGGTCTCTTTCTGAGCTCTCTTTTCTGTTCCATTGATGTGTTATCTGTTCTTTTACCAATACCGCATTGTCTTGATAACTGCAGTTTAATAGTAAGTCCTGAGTTGGGGTAGTGGTTGCCCTTCAACTTTGTTCTTATTCTTCAGTATTGTGGGTATTCTTAGTCTTTTGGCTTATCATTGCTGAGATTATGATTGAGACTGCATTGAATCTATAATCAATTTTGGAAGAGGTGACATCTTGACAATATTGAGTCTTCCTAACCATGAACATGCAACATATTTCTGTTTATTTAGTTCTTTGGTTTCTTTCATCTGAGTTTTGTAGTTTCCTTCATATAATTCTATTTATATTTTGATAGATTTTTACCTATTTTTTTCTTTTACCTATTTTCTTTTCTTCAACCCCACTATAATCTCTTATTAGTTACAGTTTTTTTTTGTTGTTGACTCTTGAATTGTATACATAGACAATCATGTCTGCAAACAAAGACAACTGAATTTTTTTTTCTTCTCAGTCTATATACCCTTTTTTTTGTTTGTTTTATTGCATTAGCTAGGACTTCCAGTATGACATTGAAAAAGAGTGGTGAGAGAAGATATTTTTGCCTTTTGACAATCTAGGTGTTTGGTGGATATTCTGCATCCAGTTGAAGAAGTTCCCCTCTAGTCCTAGTTTGCTTACATCTGTGGGTTTTTAATATGGAGTATTTGATTATAGATTCCATGGATTATAGATTACAGATTATAGATTCCATGGATGTGCTTGAAATATTTGTTAGCTCCCTAGAAGTTTATGTGCACATGCATTTTCCCATGGAGAAAGTTTAAAGTGTTAGGAGATTCTTATGTGAAATTCTACTCATGCACTTTTTACTGTTAACCTGTTTTCTAACTTAATGCCTTCTTGAATCTAGAGCTTCCTTAGAAATACACTTCACGTAATTCGTCTTGGGCTGAATCCATGATAAAATAGACAGGAGTGACCATTTATTTGTACCTATTTAGTTGCTTCAGACTTTGCTGTGGCTCTGTTTATGCCACTTCCGACCCATTTTGTCAGGGGAGCAATAGCAGACACAAGTATTTTCCCCTCAAAATTTTTCATGTTTCTTCTAGTTAGTAGCCAGAATTAGTTAGTACTAAATTTGGTATTTCTTAGTGAGACTGCCAAGTTGAATCTAGGTGGTAAGTACCTCCTTTAGCTTCTTTTTTCTTTTTTAATTTTTTAAGTCTAGAAGATGACTACAGGGAAGCAGTTTTATAAGGTGACCTATTTCAGGAATTAGATTGGTATGTTTGCATCTATTAAAATTTATATTTGGCTACTCATGCTATTTTATATTAAGAATGTGTTTATTTCACTAAAGTTATTTTTATAGCTTGCTGATACCTTATGAATGATTTATCCCCTTAATTCTTTAATGCAACTTATAATTTAAAAATTTCTACCCAATATCTATACCAAATCAGTTTCACCAAGTATCAGTTAGCTTTAATTGTTCAGCTTTATGCTTATTTTTGACAATTCTCTTGTGAGAATCTGTTCAACTTTTTAGTGAGGTTCAAAATCATCATGTTGGTAACCAGTAAGTTATTGCTTGAAATTGTGTAGTTCACTATTTTAATTCCCCTGCTGGCCTCCCTACCTATCCTTCTCCTAGGAAGACAGCTTTTAGGAGTGATGGGGAAGCTTCAATTTGGGTTCAGTATACAAGCCAGCAGATTAGAAGTGCTTTCCATCTGTTTGAGCTACTACAATTGCTCATAATGTAATAACTGCAAAACCTACTAAATGGTCTTCCTGTCTCTAGTCTTTTCACCTGCAAATATCTTTTCTGCAATGCTACAGGAAAAAAGCATTGGTCTAAAAGCTAAGGTCTAAATCTGTGTTCTTCATATTTTTCACTGACTTTCTGTCAGTTTATAACACTCAAAAATTTCCATTCCCCACCCACAAACCTATCCAGCCTTAACTTTCCCCACTCTTTAAATCCACTTGTCTTTTGGCATCTAGAACTGATTGTACTCTCTCACTCTATACTCACCATGCCATTGTTCATGCTATTCTTTCTGCCTAGATATCTTTCCTTCTGGCACTACCTTTCTCCAACTATTTCTCCAACAGTTGCCTACAATTAACACTCGGAATCTCTTCCAATATTTTTTTTTCTGAGCCCACCCAGGCCAAGTTACATTTCTTCCTCTTCAAATCCTTAGTACCCAGTTACCCACTTATCTCCTGTAGTGGATTACACAGTTCCCAAGATGAAAGATCATTTCTTTCTTATTGTTCTTTGTATTCTCAATGCAATATTTGTTCAAAAATGGTTTGTTGACTTGATTTCCATGCCTACCTTGCTGTAATGTCTGGATATTTTCATGGAGAGAACTGGGAGGCGGAGTTGAACAAAAGCTTCTTCAACAGAATATTTGGGCTTAAATCCTCTCTGCTAAGAGACATTGGAGATATTATCTAATATCTTTATGTTTCTACCTCTTATCAATTAGATAAACCTTTCCTTTCATAATTCATGCTATGAAAGTAAGACGAAACACATTCTTACGACGAGTTGAATTAAATGCATAGCTTTGCGTTCGTATGCAAAGAAATGGTTAGAACTTCTTCCTTAGATATCTAATTATCAGATATTTTAAACCAACTTATGAAAATGTTTTGAAAGTTTTAAAAAATCCTATATAATTGTGACACAGGATTTTTTCCATGCCTCTTCTCCAGCCAGAAACCTCTGTGGCCAGCAGGGCCTCTGCTTGAGTTTTGCTCACAACCACTGGGCTGGCTGCACCAACTCAGCCTGGCAGGCTATGCTCAGCTCACACTACTGGCCCAGCTACCACGCCCGCTGCAGGTGAGCCAGGCGTGAAGCAGCAAAGAGTGTGTGAGCAAGTGGACGTGGGGACCAGCCATAGCACACAGCCAGGAGCACCAGCACAGGCGCGAGCAATGTGGGAGGCTGTGGCTGGACCAGGTGTGCCTCAAGTGGCTTCCGCCTTGGGCGCCAGCATCTGGATGAGGTGAGCGAGGTGGTGCCTGAAAACTTGGAGACGCCAGCGACCATGGAGCCCCAAGGGGGTGTTACATTGTGTCCCAGCTCTGTCTGAGGGAGCCCCAAGGTCTGGGCCCCCAGAGTGTCACAGCTCTTGTCTCACACTCTGGTGATTGGGTGTGTGTCACTGCCCTAAGCTTGGTGGGCTGGCCAGGAACGTGTTTCAGCTTGCTCGTGTTACAGCTCATTCCATCCTGCTATCCCACTCCAGCCCATGGCTCCTGGGCTGACCCAGCCCCACCGCTGCTTCCTGTCATGTGGGACAGCCACCCGGCACCGGCGGAAGGTGGGAGGACTACAGTGTTACAGCGTCTTTAGTAGGTCCTGGGTTCTTGTTCTGTGTCCAAGAAGAATGAGGTTACGTTGACAACCGAAGAGAGAGAAGGTGGAGAAGAGATTTATTGAGCCACAGAACAACTCTTAGTGGAGAGAGGACCCGAAGTGGGTAGCCTCTACCCCAAGACGGGTAGTCTCCACATGTGGCTCAGTCCGGAGCTTTTATGGGCTCAGAATGGGGGAGTGAGTACTGATTAATCCGTGGGTAGGCCTGGAAAAAGCACCATTTGATTGGACAAAAGGTATCGAGGAAGTTCTTACTCTGCTCTAGGACTTTACCTGGAACTGGCAGCTTGATTTTCAGGCTTCAGGCTGTCTTTGGCTTGAAGGTCAGGTTTCACCAGGGACCCTCCCCTGTCTGCTTACGAATTTGTCTACCTCCTGCCACTATCAATTACAAGGAACTATTAGTGTTATTGGTATGTTTTATTATTATTTTACTACTCATTCTGAGGTTCAGTTTCTGAGATACTGGCCTTTATATTAGGTTTTATTATATTGACTTCTGATGCTTTTGCAAAATTCTTTTTGCTTTCTGTAATGGTTAATTTTATATGTCAATTATATATATAATTTTATATGTCGTGTTTGGGCCATGATT
The DNA here is from genome assembly GCF_000001405.40 of Homo sapiens. Lineage (NCBI taxonomy): Eukaryota > Metazoa > Chordata > Mammalia > Primates > Hominidae > Homo > Homo sapiens. Next base: position 97,792,126 of record NC_000006.12, read on the forward strand.
CCAAGATATTTGGTCAAATATTAGTCTAAATGTTGCAGTGAAGATATTTTTTAGATTAGATTAGATGTTAATTAGATGTTAATCAAATCTAAAACATACCTTCAGTGCAACATCTAGACTGGTATTATTTAGATGGTATTAATTATAATTTACAAACTGAGGTGAATAATAAATAGAATTTTTTTCCATAACTGGACTTTCTGTCATAGGCCAGAATACAATAAATACCAGAATTGTAGTTCTAGCTCAGAACTTCTCTCCTTCAGGAGTCTAATTTAGAGAGAGGAACATCAAGGACAGGAGGCATTGGGTTCTCAGTTGTCATGTTCCTCACTGTAGTCCATGGAGCTATTTTCAATCCTCTCTAATCTTTGAACTGATGACCACTGAACTTTTCTTGCCCTGTCTTCTTGGCTTCATCAGATCCACCTTCTTACTTGATCTACCCTCAGAATTCCAGAATAAAAGAACAATAGTGTAGGCATTGTGATTAGTGTCTTAAACATAAAATGAAGCCCTATTTCTCACCTCCACTCCTAATTTTCTGTTATTAGCCTTTGTCTGGATGAATATTTATTTGTTCTAATATTTTAAATTATTCTCTCTATTTTTGATTAGATGTGTCTGTGGTAAACATCATATGGCTGAATTTTGTTTTCTATCCTTTTTGAGTTTTTCCTAAGGAGAAAATTTTCTGTCTTTACACATCATATCTGATATGATTGTCTTCTGACATGTTTCAGACTTTCTTTTTTTATACTCTTGACTCTTTCATTCTTGCTTTTCTTTTCTTTTTCTTTTCTTTTTTTTTTTTTTGAGACCGTGTCTTGATGGAGTGTGGTGGCATGACCATGGCTCACCGCAGATTCAACTTCTCAGATTCAAGCAGTCCTCCCACCTTAGCCGCTAGTAGGTGGGACTATAGGTGCATGCCAGCACACCTGGATGATTTTTTGTTTTTTTTGCAGAGACAGAGGTCTTACTACATTGCCAAGGCTGGCCTCGAACTCCTGGGCTCAAGCAATCCTCCTATCTCTGTCTCCCAAAGTGCTGGGATTACGGGTGTGAACCACCACACCAGGTCCTCTTGCTTTTTTGTTTTTAGAAATTTTTATCTACATGTTTTAATTTCTTCTTCTAGAAGTCAGAAACAATACCAATCAACTGTCCCCCACATCTCTACCTTAAAAGATAAAAAAATTAATATGAAATTTATGACTATATTCTTCTTACCTACTGCAATTTTTGTTAATAGGATGTTGGCATTAAAATGTTACTTTTTTTTTTTTTACAACTGAATTATATCTTACAACTATTTCTTTAATATGATGATTCTTGAGGCATCTATGCTTATTAATCTTAGTCAACTGAAATACACTGTATGTTTTAAAGAGGAGTTCATGGTTAGTATACTCCTTAAATTTTTGTGTGCTTGAAAATTTCTTTTATTTCTTTGTTAAAATGACGTTTTGGTTAAGTATACAATATTTGGTTAAGAGTTATTTAAGTATAAACATCACATTATTATCAACTAATGTCTAGAGTTACTAAGAATATTCTTGTAACTTGATTGCTTCCAGGATAATTATATACAGTGAATAGAGAATGACCTCATGGAGAGAATTCATAATGTCATACAACATTTTGTTATGTCAAATACACAAGTAGAAAATAACTATAAAATCAGATCACAAAATGATACACAGTATCTGCTTACTGTCATCACAGAGTAGGTACATTGAAATAAGAATATGCCTTCTTTTCTTTTCACTTATATTTCACTTTTCAGTATGAATTCCAGTGGTCTCTGGAATTAGCCAGTGGTATAAGGGGGACTGTCTAGAGTTAATGGGTAGAACTTTCAAGTAACGCTGGTTTTACTGTGAAACAAATGTGGAAATAAAGAATGCAGGCATCTGAACCACATGGCCACATTTCTTGGAATCTGGGGAGAGCTTTACAACAAAAGTTTCCAGGAGGAACTGTTTCTAGAGTAGCACTGGACATCACAGTCTAATCACAAATAGGAAAAGTGAGGATCATTCAGGATTCAATTCAATGTAAATATCAGGATCTCTAAATACATCTTTGAAAACAGGGACCCCTTGATTTTCTACTATTCTTTGAATTCATCCAATTCTTTTACAATTTCTTTTTCTAAGCTTCATAACTTCACCACTATGTGACCATATGCAACTTATTTAACAACTTTATGTTTCAGTGCCTTCATTTAAAAATAGAGATAGTAATAGAACCTACTACATATGCAAGATAATGTATAAAATATGCTTAGTAATAAGTTTGGGATATAGTAAGCATTCAACAGAATCAGCTTTTACCTATGCCAAGATCCTAGATTGCTCTGTACCATGCTTAGGGGAGGAGGGTATACAAGTAAGAAGCCAGGGAAATGAAGCCTTTCTTAAACCTTTGACTTTAATTGTCTGTACATAAAGGATGTTTTAAAAATTTGACAATTATATTGATGTGTTAGAAAACTATTATCATATGGTTCCCAAGCAAAGATGGCCAAATAGGAACAGCTCCAGTCTACAGCTCCCAGCATGAGTGACGCAGAAGATGAATGATTTCTGCATTTCCAACTGAGGTACTGGGTTCATCTCACTGAGGATTGTCAGACAGTGGGTGCAGGACAGTGGGTGCAGTGCACTGAGCATGAGCCGAAGCAGGGTGAGGCATTACCTCACCCGAGAAATGCAAGGGGTCAGGGAATTCCCTTTCCTAGCCAAGGAAAGGGGTGACAGACGGCACCTGGAAAATCGGGTCACTCCCACCCTGATACTGTGCTTTTCTGATAGTCTTAGCAAACGGCACAACAGGAGATTATATCCTGCACATAGCTCAGAGGGTCCTATGCCCACAGAGCCTCGCTCTTTGCTAGCACAGCAGTCTGAGATCAAACTGCAAGGTGGCAGTGAGGCTGGGGGAGGGGTGCCCGCCATTGCTGAGGCTTGAGTAGGTAAACAAAGCGGCTGGGAAGCTCGAACAGGGTGGAGCCCACTGCAGCTCAAGGAGGCCTCCCTGCCTCTGTAGACTCCACATCTGGGGGCAGGGCGTAGCCAAACAAAAGGCAGCAGAAACCTCTGCAGACTTAAATGTCCCTGTCTGACAGCTTGGAAGACAGTAGTGGTTCTCCCAGCACGCAGCTTGAGATCTGAGAATGGACAGACTGCCTCCTCAAGTGGGTCCCTGACCCCCGAGTAGCCTAACTGGGAGGCACCCCCCAGTAGGGGCAGACTGACACCTCACACGGCCAGATACTCCTCTGAGACAAAACTTCCAGAGGAACGATCAGGCAGCAACATTGGCTGTTCAGCAATACTCGCTGTTCTGCAGCCTCTGCAGCTGATACCCAGGCAAACAGGGTCTGGAGTGGACCTCCGGCAAACTCCAACAAACCTGCAGCTGAGGGTCATGACTGTTAGAAGGAAAACTAACAAACAGAAAGGACATCCACACCAAAACCCCATCTGTACGTCACCATCATCAAAGACCAAAGGTAGATAAAACCACAAAGATGGGGAAAAAACAGAGCAGAAAAACTAAAAATTCTAAAAATCAGAGTACCTCTCCTCCTCCAAAGGAACGCAGCTCCTCACTAGCAACGGAACAAAGCTGGATGGAGAATGACTTTGACTAGTTGAAAGAAGAAGGCTTCAGACGATCAAACTTCTCCGAGCTAAAGGAGGAAGTCTGAACCCATAGCAAAGAAGTTGAAAAACTTGAAAAAAGATTAGATGAATGGCTAACTAGAATAACCAATGCAGAGAAGCCCTTAAAGGACCTGATGGAGCTGAAAACCATGGCACAAGAACTATGTGACAAATGCACAAGCCTCAGTAGCCGATTCGATCGACTGGAAGAAAGGGTATCAGTGATGGAAGATGAAATGAATGAAATGAAGTGAGAAGAGAAGTTTAAAGAAAAAAGAATACAAAGAAATTAATAAAGCCTCCAAGAAATATGGGACTATGTGAAAATACCAAATCTATTTCTGATTGGTGTACCAGAAAGTGACGGGGAGAATGGAACCAAGTTGGAAAACACTCTGCAGGATATTATCCAGGAGAACTTCCCCAATCTAGCAAGGCAGGCCAACATTCAAATTCAAGAAATACAGAGAATGCCATAAAGATACTCCTCGAGAAGAGGAACTCTAAGACACATAATTGTCAGATTCACCAAAGTTGAAATGAAGGAAAAAACGTTAAGGGCAGCCAGAGAGAAAGGTCGGGTTACCCACAAAGGGAAGCCCATCAGACTAACAGCTGATTTCTCGGCAGAAACTCTACAAGCCAGAAGAGAGTGGGGACCAATATTCAACATTCTTAAAGAAAAGAATTTTCAACCCAGAATTTCATACCCAGCCAAACTAAGCTTCATAAGTGAAGGATAAATAAAATACTTTAGAGACAAGCAAATGCTGAGAGATTTTGTCACCACCAGGCCTGCCCTACAAGAGCTCCTGAAGGAAGCACTAAACATGGAAAGGAACAACTGGTACCAGCCACTGGAAAAACATGCGAAATTGTAAAGACCATCAATGCTAGGAAGAAACTGCATCAACTAATGAGCAAAATAACCAGCTAACATCATAATGACAGGATTAAATTCACACATAACAATATTAACCTTAAATGTAAATGGGCTAAATACTCCAATTAAAAGACCCAGACTGGCAAATTGTATAAAGAGTCAAGACCCATCAGTGTGCTGTATTCAGGAAACCCATCTCACATGCAGAGACACACATAGGCTCAAAATAAAGGGATAGAGGAAGATCTACCGAGCAAATGGAAAACAAAAAAAGGCAGGGGTTGCAATCCTAGTCTCTGATAAAACAGACTTTAAACCAACAAAGATCAAATGAGACAAAGAAGGCCATTACATAATGGTAAAGGGATCAATTCAACAAGAAGAACGAACTATCCTAAATATATATGCACCTAATACAGGAGCACCCAGATTCATAAAGCAAGCCCTTAGAGACCTACAAAGAGACTTAGATTCCCACACAATAATAATGGGAGACTTTAACACCACACTGTCAACATTAGACAGATCAACGAGACAGAAAGTTAACAAGGATATCCAGGAATTGAACTCAACTCTGCACCAAGAAGACCTAATACACATCTACAGAACTCTCCACCCCAAATCAACAGAATATACATTCTTCTCAGCAGCACACCACACGTGATCCAAAATTGACCACATAGTTGGAAGTAAAGCACTCCTTAGCAAATGTAAAAGAACAGAAATTATAACAAACTGTCTGTCAGACCACAGTGCAATCAAACTAGAACTCAGGATTAACAAACTCACTCAAAACTGCTCAACTACATGGAAACTGAACAACCTGCTCCTGAATGACTACTGGGTACATAATGAAATGAAGGCAGAAATAAAGATGTTCTTTGAAAACAATGAGAACAAATACAGAACATACCAGAATCTCTGGGACATATTTAAAACAGTGTGTAGAGGGAAATTTATAGCACTAAATGCCCACAAGAGAAAGCAGGAAAGATCTAAAATTGACACCCTAGCATCACGATTAAAAGAACTAGAGAAGCAAGAGCAAACACTTTCAAAAGCTAGCAGAAGGCAAGAAATAACTAAGATCAGACCAGAACTGAAGGAGATAGAGACACAAAAAACCCTTCAAAAAATCAATGAATCCAGGAGCTGGTTTTTTGAAAAGATAACAAAATTGATAGACCACTAGCAAGACTAATAAAGAAGAAAAGAGAGCAGAATCAAATAGACACAATAAAAAATGATAAAGGAGATACACCACCGATCCCACAGAAATACAAACTACCATCAGAGAATACTATAAACACCTCTATGCAAATAAACTAGAAAATCTAGGAGAAATGGATAAATTCCTCGACACATACACCCTCCCAAGAC